>NW_025791789.1:300000-569668 GCF_000001405.40 Homo sapiens | reverse complement strand
GAATTCCTTCTGACCAGTACAGTTCCATTTTGTTCATGTCAGAACTCAAGTTGTTATTATGATTATTACTATTATTTATGCATCCAGAATTCACACTAGAAACACTCAAATAATTGTAAGGTGACATTTTTTTCTAAAAGCCTCTCTGCACCTTTTTGGTTTAGCATACATGGCGGGAGTTAGCTTTGGGCCTGTCCTTGGGAGTATCCTCCCTCAATCCCCTCTGCCCGTGAATTCCTGCCCACTGATCCTGTGGATTTGTCGAGGGTCTTGAAGGCAGAGTGCATGTGATAAGCTGGGCAGAGACCCTAGAGAGAGCAGTGAGCCGCAGAGGTGGACAGAGCCAGCTCTGCTCCATGCTGCATGAGGGGCTTTGGCAAGTTGCATCATTTGTCTGAGTTTAGTTCCTTCATGTTTAAAATGGCAATAAGGAAACTAAGTTTGCATAGTAGTTGTAAGAGATAAATTACATATTAGCATCTCATTACTTTATAGCTACAATAAGGATGGTTTAGTTATGAGCATAAGAGTCAGCTGTGCTCAACGTGGGCACTTCATCCAATTGAAGTGGAAACTTAATCAAGTTCCCAGGGGGACTGAGTCACATCTGGAATAATGTCTCTCTACAGAGGGAAGGGGTGAGCAGTGACCATAGCTGGATCTTAAGTTTCAGACCTCACTTTAGCCAGTAATTATAAAATCATGTCATGTATTTAACTGTCTTTAGTCTCAGTTTCTGCCTATTTCAAATGGTGCTGATCATGGCTGCCTTCTCTATTTTAAGACACTGTTATGAGGGAACAATGATCAGAAGTAGGTATTTTAATAAGTTAAAAGCCTTACTATTCATACAATGTTATTACTATCAGTGCTCATAAATCATTTTGCAAATACTTAGTATTAGAGAAACAGATTTCTCTGTGTACCCTTTCCCTTACATTCCATCTAATTGGAATGAACTCTTCTGTGCTCCTATCCTACCTATGGCTGTTTCCATTCAAAATGTCTGGTCTTGTGTTTTCATTACTCGAGTATGATATGCCCAATAGAGTGTAAGCTTTGTGGGGTCAGGCAGCATACCTTGTTTATTCAACATCATTCCATTACTTCAGTGCTCAGAACAATAACTCATTCACAGTAAGTCTGGATTGAATGAGTGACAGTGGTTTTTCTAATAATGGTTACCATTTCTGAACAACTCATATACATGTCAATTACATTTATCAAAATGATGTGATGAATAGAATCATAGGGTGTTTGGGATAGTGGAGACCTTGCATATCATTGCATTTCTCACCACCATTGCATAGGTGAAGTGCATAGAGCCAGTGAGAAGAAATGGATCTCCGAGTGTCACATGGCTGGGAAATGACAAAGTAGGAGTTGAATTCAGATTACATCACTGTATTTCCAGTGTTATTTTCTCACCAAGAGCTCACAAAAATGCTTATAATTTTGCTAATATAATGTTAGATATTAATCAAGTACTTCTAAAAGTGAGAGCAAAATATGAAAACTATAGCAAAAATTCTTACATCTAACAAAGGAAAGGTTGTAATTTTAAAAAGTATGTCATCGATATAATAAAATGACTGTTGTGGCCATGGGTATTTACTCAATTGTCTGGATTGACTCAAGTTTAATGATATCATGAATCTCTGAAAATGTTTAAAGATTGAGCTAATCTTCATTTTGAAACTGATGGCAGCTACAGATCTGTGGCTATTTTTATTAACAGTGTTGGCTGGGTGCCATGGCTCACGTATGTAATCCCAGCACTTTGGGAGGCCAAGGCTGGCAGATAGCCTGAGGTCAAGAGTTCGAGACCAGTCTAGCCAACATGGTGAAACCCCAATCTCTACTAAACATACAAAAATTAGCCGGGCGTGGTGGCAGGCGCCTGTGGTCCCAGCTACCTGGGAGGCTGAGGCAGGAGAATTGCTTGAACCCAGGAGGCAGCCAAGATCGCGCCACTGCATTCCAACCTGAGTGACAGAGCGAGACTCTGTCTTAAAAACAAAAAACAAGAAACAGTGTCTTTCACAGAGCAGACATTTTTAATTTTAATTAAGTCCAACTTACCCATTTTTTAATTCATGGACTATGCTTTTGGTGTTATATCTAAGAACTCAAAGCTAACCCAAAGGACACTCAGATGTTCTCCAATTTTTTTTCTAGCTTCATAGTTTTGTGTTTTACTTTAAGGTACATAATCCATTTTGAGTTAATTTTTGTGAAATTTTCCTTCCTGTTTATTTATTTGATTCTGATAAAATATCAAAATCAGCAGGGTAATTCTGACCTCATAGAATGAGTTAGAAAGTATTCCCTCTGCTTCTATTTTTGGGAAGAGATTGTAGAGAATTGGTGTACATTCTTCCTTAAATGTATTGTAGAATTCACCAGTGGCAAAATCTAGTCTTAGTTCTTTCTCTTTTAGTAAGCCATTATTAGTTATTAATTCAATTTCTTAACATATATGGACCTATTCAGAGTATCTGTTTCTAGTGTGTGAGTCTTGGTAGTTTGTATTTTTAAGGAACTCAGCCATTTTACCTAAGTTAACACATTTGTGAGTATAGAGTTTTTGATAACATATATATTTAATATTTGATCAGAAGTCAGTCTTTCGTTTCTGGTGTTAGTAATTTGTGTCTTCTCTTTTCTTTGCTATCTTAGTGAGAGGTTTATCAATTTTCTTTTTCTTTTCAAAGAACTAACTTTTGGTTTCACTGATCTTTATTATTATTTTATTATTACTATTTTTGAGACAGAGTCTCACTCTGTTGCCCAAGCTGGAGTGCAGTGGCACAATCTAGGCTCACTGCAACCTCCGCCTACCAGGTTCAAGTGATTCTCCTGCCTCAGCCTCCCAAGTAGCTGGGATTACAGGCACACGCCACCATGGCCGGCTAATTTTTGTATTTTTAGTAGAGACAGGGTTTCACTATGTTGGCCAGGCTGGTCTTGAACTCCTGACCTCGTGATCCACCCACCTCGGCCTCCCAAAGTGCTGGGATTACAGGCATGAGCCACCACACCCGGGCTGATCTTTATTATTTTTCTGTTTTTAATTTTATTGATTTCTGCTCTAATTTTTATTATTTTCATTGTCCTGGTTGCTTCAGGCTTAAATTACTCTTCCTTCTCTAGTCCCTATAGTAGATGCTTAGATTTAAAACAATTTTTTGGATCTTTCTTCTTTTCTGAACTATGCATTCAATGTATAATTTTTTCTCTAAAAACTGCTTTTACTGGATCTCACAAATTGTGATAAGTTGTATATTTTCATTTATTCAAAATATTTTTTGATTTCTCTTGAGATTTCTTCTTTGATCTTTGTGTTATTTAGAAGTGTGCTGTTTAATCTCTAAATATTTGAGGATTCCAGCTCTTTTTCTGTTATTGATTTCTAGTTACATGTCATCATGGCCTGAGAAAATACTTTGTATGATTTCTGGCCTCTTAAACTTGTTGAGGTCTGTTTTATAGACAATGGTCTTGGTGAATGTCCCATGTAAGCTTGAAAAGATTGTGTATTTTGCTGTTATTGAAGAGATTATTTTATAAATGTCAATTGGGTCAAATTTATTGATAATATTATTCAGGTCAACTATATTCTTATTGATTTTCTGTCTGCTGAATCTATCAATTACGGAATGAGGGGTGTTGAAACCTTTAACTCTAATAGTGGACTTGCCTGTTTCTTCTTGCAGTTCTATCATGTTTTGACTCCTGTATTTTGTACTTTGTTGTGAAGTGCATACATATTAAGCATTGTTATGCCTTCTTAGAGAACTGAATCATTTATCATTTTGCAATGTTCATCTTTAAACCTGATAATTTTCCTTTCTCTAAAGACTGCTTTGTCTGAAATTAATACAGCTACTCCAGTTGTCTTTTGATTAGTGTTATCATGGTATATCTTTCTCCACCTCTTTATTTTTACTTTACCTTAATATTTCACTTCCACTCTTCTCTTACTCCCATATTTCTGGCCAGAAGTTCACTGTAATTATTATCCTTGTACTTCTATGAGTCAGGTGTTTTTCCTCTGGCATCTTTCAATATTTTCTCTTTGTTTTGGTTTTCTGAAGTTTGAACATGATATACCTAGGCATAGGTTTTTTTTTTTTTTTAAATCCTGCTTGGTATTCTCTAAGCTTCCCAGATCTGTGATTTGGTGTCTGTCATTAATTTTGGAAAATGATCTATCTTTTTTCTCCATTATTTTAATTATGCTAGGTTATACCATTTGGAATCTTCTCACGGTTGCTGAATATTATTTTCTGTTTGTGTTTTTCATTCTTTTCTTCTCTTCATTTTAGTTTGGGGAGTTTTTATTGACATGTCTTCAAGATTTCTGATTCTATCCTTGGCCACATCTAGTCTATTGATGAGCCCATCAAAGGCAGTTTCACTTCGATTAGTGGTTATTTTATTTCTATAATTTCCTTTTTGATTGTTTCTTAGATTTTCCATCTCTGTGATTACATTACCCATCTTTTCTTGCATGTTGTCTACTTTTATCATCAGAGCCTATTATTTTAAATTCCCTGTCTAATAATTCCAAAACCTGTGTCATATCTGAGTCTGCTTCCGATGCTTGCTTTGTCTCTTCAGACTGTTTTTTCTTAACTTCTAGTAGCCCTATAATTTTTTGTTGAAAGCCACATTTGATATATTGGACAAAAGGAACCGAAGGAAAGAGGCCTGTAGTGTGAGGTTTTCTATTAATCTGGCTGAAAGCCGGCTGAGTTTAGTGCCTGCTGTAGCTGTAGCTAAGGCTTCAGATTTCTCTGGTGTCCTTGTTTTTCTCTCCTATTGTCTTTAGTTTTTCGTAAGAATTGTGCTTTGTGGCCTTTTCAGCTGTTTTCCACTATTATTGTGATGGAGCCCTGTTGATTAATGATAAGGTATAGGGGAGAGAAAGTGAGGGTAAGTGTTTATAATCTGAGGATCAAATCTTAGTTTTATGTAACTCCTGACCCTGGATGTGATCTTCACAAGTTTTGTGTGTCCCCCACTCCAACCCCTCACTCTTGATGAGACAGGAAATCTAAAGGGGGCTCAAGTGGGGGAAATGCCCTTCCTCCTAGGTGAGATAAGGCTCTGGTGACATCTTTTCTCCTGGAGACTAGGCTTTTGTTATGGAAAATGCTCTGGGCATATTTCAAAGCCACTACTTTTTCCCTCCCGCTGACAGAGGCAGGAAGTGATGTTTCTTTGCTTTTTACTGTGAGAACCTGGTGGGGTTTCTGGAGGTAACACCCACAGAAGCAGTGAGGTCGTCTCAATGTTGTAGCCTTCAGGGTTTTCTTCCCCACACTCTGGTCCACAATCAGCCAACAGCAATTCATCACAATTACCGTTTTAGTATTCCTGCTAGTTTATGGCTCCAGTAGCCTCTGCTCTCGGGAAGCTGATCTCAGCTGTGATTTTGTCTGTCTCTCCAGATTCTGGGGTTATGGTCACTCTCTGTGACCTCAATTCTCTGATAAGTCCAAGAAAAGTAATTAATTTCTATTTTTTTCAGCTTTTTTCTTATTGTAAGGGCAGTAGTGACAACTTTTAAATTCCTTACATGTTGCAGCTAAAACCAGAAGTCTCAGAAGTCTCACTTTTTTAAAAAGGCTCTATTGCTGGCAATTAATTGTAACACCTTCAAAAAAAAACAAGTGTGCCATTTTATTTGGCCATGGACCCACTGCCACTAAAAACCAACATATTAGATAAGTAGCTAGTTCTGACTGATATAATTTAATCCCCTTTTAGAGCTTGCAGATTCTCTGCAGACACAGACCCATCGGAGAGATTCAATTCAATTTGCACATCTATTAGGCTGTTTGAAACAACGAGAATTCTGAAGCTGCCAAAACCCCACTTTCAATCTCCCCGCTGGACCTGCCTGGCATCTTTTCGTGGTGAGCCGTACACTGATGTGCTGTTTGGCAGACACTGTGCAAAGAGCTGCCCGGCTGTCTCCAGAGAGGGGCTGGGTGGGGCTGGGGCCTTCATTCCAATGTGCTTCAGCCACAGAGCTGTCGGCCCTCTTGCCTAACGAAATAGTAACTAGCCCTTGCCCTGTCTCAGAATCTAACATTACCTGCTTCTAATATAGAAAGATGTGATCTTTTAAAATTGTTGTTGCTGTTTTTGGTCTATTTTATTTTTGAAAATACTGTTTCGATATATGAAGCCCTTGTCAAGTTCACTTTAGCTAATTGTCATTTTGACGTACAAAATTTGAAGACTTTCTGTCATTTGAGACAGAGCAGGGATCCCTCTTGGGGTCTGCCGGGTCCCCCAAGCATGGAAATGAAGGAAATTCTTGAGTTCCTTCAAGGGAAAGTTGAGGCACCCAGCTAGTCCTGAGGAGTAGATGAGCAACTTGGTAAGCAAGAAAGTAATAGTGGCTTCAAACAATACCCAAGGAAGTTACAGCCACAAAATGTTTGGTGCCTTACAGAAACTAAAGAAAACATCTTAACCTGTGTCCCTGAGTAGTTTTTCAGAAACCTGGACCCCACCAAATGAAAAAGGCCATCCATGGCTCTTGGACCTCAGATAAGAGGGAACTGGGGACTGAACTCTGACTCTTCTTTGTTATAAATTTTTTCCTGAGGGGCCTGGTGGCCAGAGCTAACATTCTTTTCTACTGACCCCAGAGTTTTAGACAAAGCGTCACCTGTTAACCATCCACAGAGGAGAACATCTTTGCATCCACTTATGACCTGTGGCCCTCCCACCACCTGCTTGAAGATGACTTGGCTTTTGGGGTCCAAACCAATGTAGAGACTTCATGTATTGATTTACGACTTCGTCTGTAACTTCTGCCTCCCTATCTTTAAAAGCCCTTATTTTAAGCCATTGGGGAGTTCAGGTCTTAAACATGACCTGCCCAATTCTCCTTGCTTGGCCCCTGCAATAAATGCCTCACTTTCACTTTTTAAAAAAAATTTATTTATTTATTTATTTTTATTATTTATTTATTTTATTTTTTTTTTTTTGAGATGGAGTCTGGCTCTGTCGCCCAGGCTGGAGTGCAGTGGCGTGATCGCGGCTCACTGCAAGCTCCGCCTCCCGGGTTCATGCCATTCTCCTTCTTCAGCCTCCCGAGTAGCTGGGACTACAGGCGCCCACCACCATGTCCAGCTAATTTTTTTGTATTTTTAGTAGAGATGGGGTTTCACTGTGTTAGCCAGGATGGTCTCGATCTCCTGACCTCATGATCCGGCTGTCTCGGCCTCCCGAAGTGCTGGGATTACAGGCATGAGCCACTGTGCCTGGCCCTTTTTTTTTTTTTTTTTTTTTCGAGATGGAGTCTTGCTCTATAGCCAGGCTGGAGTGCAGTGGTGTGATCTCGGCTCACTGCAACCTCCGCCTCCCAGGTTCAAGTGATTCTCTTGCCTCAGCCTCCTGAGTAGCTGGGATTGCAGGCACCCGGCTAATTTTTGTATTTTTAGTGGAGGTGGGGGTTTCACCATGTTGGCCAGGCTGGTCTCGAACTCCTGACCTTGTGATCCACCCACCTCGGCCTCCCAAAGTGCTGGGATTATAGGCGTGAGCCGCTGTGCCCGGCCTAGCATACTTTATAAACTAGTCCCCAGACATTTCTAAATTACACGTAGTTACTTGAACAACATGTCCAGATTCTGCAGATACAGATGTCTGAATCTGAGGTTCCTCATTTGTAAAAGGTAGACCCAGAGTAGGTGATTTTTCAGACATTTGCCAACATGAAAATTTTCTAGTTAAAATTTTTTTTCATCACCATGCGTGTGGAGAGGTAGGAGGTGTACTGAGATGGGACGAAAACAAGTCAGCTAAGCATCGTTGAAAACCATACTGGGTTCCCAGTGAAATATGGTTTGTTTCTGTGTCCCCACCCAAATCTCATGCCGAATTGTAATCCCCATGTGTCAGAGGAGGGGCCTGGTGGGAGGTGATTGGATCATGGAGGCAGATTTCCCCCTTGCTGTTCTTGTGACAGTGAGTTAGTTCTCATGAGATCTGATGGTTTAAAAGTGTGGCACTTCCCCACCTTGCTCTCTCTCTCTCTCCTGCCACCATGTGAAGAAGGTCCTTGCTTCCTGTTCATCTTCCACCATGATGGTAAATTTTCAGAGGCCTCCCTGCCACTCTTCTTGTTAAGCCCATGGAACTGTGAGTCAATTAAACCTCTTTTCTTCATCAATTATCCAGTCTCAGGCAGTTCTTTATAGCAGTGTGTAAATGGACTAATACACAGTGGGTTGGAGGTCTTGTATGCTGCCAGACCCCACTTGGTGTCCACCTAGGAGTAATCTAGGAGTGTGGGGGAGGCCATGCCCCCTGGGGGAAGGTTTAGCTTGTGGGAGAGACAAACTGCTGGATGTGTTCTCTTTCTTTCCATCTCCTCACTGACTTCCGAGACTGGGCTTATTGGCGTCTCAGGAAAAGGCCCCACACAGTCAAGAATCTGTTGGTTGCACTTTGGCACGGGCAGCTCAGTATCGCCTCCTCCTTATGTGAATAACCCGTCTTTCCACCTCGCTGCCCTTGCCCCTAGCTTTTGCAGCCTGGATTGCACATTGTTACAAAAGAGTACCAATAAGCCTGTTCTTTAAGCTCTGCTTTCTGAGAAACCCTGGTTAACACACTCCGTGAAACACTTTTTCTTATTGGATTCATAGTATATAAAAAGAGAAATGTTCTTAGAATCATTTTTGGAAATGCTGCTTCCTATAATGCTTTGAGTAGTTGATCTTCAACACTCCTTGGGCACCACTGGAGTTATTAGCTTAGAATGTTTGGAATATATCTTCATCCTTTCCTAATACAAAACTCCTGTGGGCGGCTAGAATGAATAGTTCCAAATGCATTCTAATCTGTTTCTCCCTTCTCATTTCACACTACATTAATTCAGGTCAGGATCCTCTCCTGGAGGAGAAGATATAAATTCTGACAGACTCTAAATAAAAGGGGGAGAAACCTTAGCTACAGAGGCTATCTGCTAGTAGGGCAAGAATGATAAACACAGGAGTAGCCGGAGGGTTTTCAGCTATTTTTGGTTTCGCAGCTAAATTTTCACAAAGTGGTTCAGGTTGTAATTTTTCAACTTTGCCTCGCAGCTGTAAGACAGTCAAAGTGCAGAGTGGAGGTGGGGTGATGACAGTTATAGAAATTGACAGACAGCCGGCCAGGCGCGGGGCTCACGCATGTAATCCCAGCAGTTTGGGAGGCTGAGGCAGGCGGATCACGAGGCCAAAAGATCGAGACCATCCTGGCTAACATGGTGAAACCCCATCTCTACTACAGATAAAAAAAAATTAGCCAGGTTTGGTGGCAGGCGCCTGTAGTCCCAGCTACTTGGGAGGCTGAGGTAGGAGAATGGCATGAACCCGGGAGGCAGAGCTTGCAGTGAGCCAACATCGCGCCACTGCACTCCAGCCTGGGTGACAGAACGTGACTCCGTCTCAAAAAAAAAGGAAAAAAAAAAAAAGAAAAAAAAAAAGGAAATTGACAGACAGCCTGACCTTTTTCTCACTGTGAGGAAAATGAGATAAGATTTTGTATTACGCAGATTAGAAAAGCAGTGGTGAGTACTTCTACCTCCTTTGGTCAGTCACTACTATTTTCATGCCATTCAGGTAAAACAGAGTATTACTGAAACATTTAAAAATAAAAATTAATCCAGCATTTTAAAAGCACAATTAATCCTTGAGCTGTCCCTAGGCCCATGGAAATAAAAAACCGGTGGACGATTGGTTGGGCATCATCAGAGTGCACCTAATTCACTGGGAATTAGGGTGCAGATCCTGGAGGAGGAAGTAATAAGATGGTAGTTTTTGTTTGAGTTGGAAAAGATCTTGGTACATTCAAAGAAGGAATACACTTGTTATTGAAACATACGTAAGATGAAATCATGAGACCCAATAGATACTGTTTTAGTTTCTCTGATATTTCCAATGAAACATACAATTTTATAACTCAGGTGTCACATACTGCAAAACTCTGTCTAAAACCTCAGACTCAAGAGCATTGAAGAAATTGCTGCTTATTTAGAAAGATGAAAGGAAAATTGTCATGTTAAAGATATTAAATTAGAGTTTATTATTCAATGAACGGCTATTTAGGCACTCACATTATGTCTGATACTGGTCTAGAGGGAGGGTTTCTCTGCCACAGGAGTATTTACACTTTGGGCTGCTCGGTACTGTGTTGTGGGGGCTGTCCTGTTCCTAGGAGTTCTGCAGCATCCTTGGCCTCAACTAACTAGGGGCCAGTAGCACCCTCCACCTCCAGGTGGGCAACAAAAAAAATCTCCAGACATTGCCAAATGCTCTCCGGGGGAAAATGCCCCTGGTTGAAAACCACTGGGCTAGGTGCAGTGCAGGGTGCAGGATAATAATAACACTTGGAGGCCAGGCGCGGTGGCTCATACCTGTAATCCCAGCACTTTGGGAGGCTGAGGCGGGAGGATCACGAGGTCAGATCGAGACCATGCTGGCTACCATGGTGAAACCCCTGTCTCTACTAAAACTACAAAAATAGCTGGGCGTGGTGGTGGGCGCCTGTAGTCCCAGCTGCTCGGGAGGCTGAGGCAGGAGAATGGCGTGAACCGGGGAGGCGGAGCTTGCAGTGAGCCCCGATCGCGGCACTGCACTCCAGCCTGGGTGACAGAGCGAGACTCGTCTCAAACAAACAAACAAAACACTTGGAGGCTGCCCTCCAGGCCAGTCTCATTGAGCAGAGAAGATTAAGGGAAAGAAAAACAAAGACAAGGGCAAATCATCTAGCATAGTATGTAAACTGCAAAACGTGTACAGGTCAACTTTTAAACATCTTGTGGGTATGATGCTGTGGCTTAGAGTTCCTTTTCTGCTCTTATTCACTCAGCAAACTTTTATCCAGTGCCTCCCATGTGACAGGTGCTGTTTTAGGTTTTGGTGATACCTTAGAGAACCAGACAAAGTCGCTGCCCTCATGGAGCTCATAGTCTCTTTGGGGAGCTAAACAAGACAAGTTAGGACAATCAATAGATGTAGATATGTAGTATAATGCCAGACCGTGGTAAGTGCTGTGAGGGAAGCTGAAGCTGGTAGTGAGATGGAGAGTAGCTGTTGAGGACGGTTGTCAGAGAAGATTTCTCAGAAGGACTAGTATTTTTTGGTGAAGAAGTTATCCTCCTCTTCTCTCTGAGAAAAACCCATGCACTCCCACGTGAACCTCTTCAAGCGGGCTCTCGTGTTGCTCTGGCGCAGCCCTCTTGTGCTTTCAGTGCTCCCTTGATTTCTGACATAACAAGGTAACTGTTCACCGACTACTTCTATTGCCCAGACCCGGAATTAACCATTTCCTCAAGGACTGGCATTATTATTATTAATGCGGTATAACTTACACAGAGTATAAGAAAGTACACTAGGCCGGGCGCGGTGGCTCACGCCTGTAATCCCAGCACTTTGGGAGGCCGAGGCGGGCAGATCACGAGGTCAGGAGATCGAGACCATCCTGGCTAACACGGTGAAACCCCGTCTCTACTAAAAATACAAAAAATTAGCCGGGCGAGGTGGCGGGCGCCTGTAGTCCCAGCTTCTCGGGAGGCTGAGGCAGGAGAATGGCGTGAACCCCAGGGGGCGGAGCCTGCAGTGAGCCGAGATTGCGCCACTGCACTCCAGCCTGGGCGACAGCGAGACTCCGTCTCAAAAAAAAAAAAAAAAAAAAAAAAGAAAGTACACTAATCTTACATGTACAATTCAATGAACTTTTACATACTTCTACAGCATACAACCACTTCTCATATAAAGATATACAACATTTCTAGCACCTAGAAAGTTCCCCAGGGGCCCATTGCATGTATTACCTCCTCCCCCATGCTGTATGCAGTGGTAATTACAATACTCTCCAGATCTGTGTTATTTTTCTCAACGTTATGCCTTTGAGAGTCATTCATATTCTTTTGAATGGCAGTGATCCATTATTTTTCATTGCTATATAGTATTCCATTCAAGTTTTGATTTGGGTTGTTTGCAGTTTTGGTCTCCTGTGAATAAAACTACTATAACAATTTTTAAACTGAGTTTACTGTCATAATGATGACACCAAGCCAATTGGGGTTTCCCTACTGGAATTAACTAATAACTCATAATTATTTCCTTAACTTTGTAGCTTAATGTTTAATTTCCTTAGCTTTGTAGCTAAATGTCTAATTTTCTCAATGTTTCTCACTTTCTCTTAGGCTGGACAAACTGCATGCATTTTGCCTACACAGAAAAAGATTACTTCTCTTCCAAATAACCTTGCTCAACCTACAAAAGCTTGCCGTTTTATTCATCAGTGAGAGGCAGTTAGTCAAGATTCTAGCTGCCATTTGTGACTCATCCACACCTGTGAAGTGAGTAGATAAGTAACATTACAATATAAATAAATTCAGACATCAAGGAAGGCAAATCGTGATTATTCCTCTAATAGAAAGTGACTCAAGGGTGCGTAGGAACATCTGGGACATTGATGTTCATTTCATGTGACTGTTAGAAGAGTGCTTCTATTCTGAGAATGTGACCCTGGTGTGGTGAAGTTTTCTGTGGAGCCTTTTGAAATTTATAGTCAGTGACGTGGAATGTCCATCCAGGAGGAGTCTGACAAATGCTGTGCCAGTCGAGGTTCAGCACCGTAGGTGTAGCGCAGGCGAAATACGGTGCTGGAGCTTTGAGTACAAGCTGAAACACCGCACACCACCTCCTCTCTCTACCATTCAGAACACTCTTTACAAAACTAAAAAACTGCCCCCCAAAAAAAAGAAAAATATAAATGCAAACATAATAAAATAAAAGGAATATTTCCCAGCTTCTGGAAAGAAAGCCAAGCCAATGATCTCTCTTATAGGTGACATGGGATAGAGGATCCCATTCCAGATTCCCCCAGGTGCTCCATGAAACAGCACAGACTCTGGTTTTCCATCATCTCAGCTCCGGGGCCTTAAGGCCTCCCCCTTACCTCTCCTCTGAGTTCCTGTGGAATCCACACTCCAGAGGTGGCCGCCCCACAGCCTGGGGCCTCCCCAGGGAGCTCTCATTTGGGACTGCCCCAGCTCTGATGTGTCAGGAGAGGCATTTGCCTTTAGCCACCTGTTCATTTGGGGGAATTCTCCTATAGGCTCCCTGTGTTCCCAGTTCTACATTCAAATCATTCTGGGTCTTTTGGTCCTTGTGATAAAACATGAAACAGCAGAAATAAACGTTTAACTATTAAAACAAAGAGACCAATTAATTATTGTTGTGGAAGTATGTGATGCTATATTAAAAACTATTTTGGAAATACAACTTATTTTACCTTCATTGCTACAATGTTCACTGGTCTGCTGTCTTCCACGGGCCACCACAAATGTCCCCTCCAGGAATATTCCATGGACCAGAGGCCCATTTGGGGTAAAGGGTGGCGAAACTCTTCCAACTTCACTCCCAGGGCCCTTTTATTCTGGAGGGCAGAGGCAGGCCTGGCAGGACAAAGCAAGATGGTGAAGATTCCAGAACTTTTGTGTAGATAATTTAATTTTTTTCAAATAATATAACTTTAAAGGTCAGACATCCAAGAGAATTAGCTAATGAAAACCTCTATCCAGCAATAAGTTTGGTAAAGTGACTAGAAACAAGTTTGCACAAAAAATAAGAACTTGCATACCTGTATCGATAAAATCTTTATTTTTTTTTTTTATTTTTTGCAACAGAGTCTCGCTGTGTACCCCAGGCTGCAGTGCAGTGGTGCAATCAAGGCTCACTGCAACCTCTGCCTCCCGGGTTGAAGTGATTCTCCCTGCCTCAGCCTCCCGAGTAGCTGGGATTACAGGTGCTCGCCAGCACGCCCTGCTAATTTTTGTATTTTTAGTAGAGACAGGGTTTCACCATGTTGGCCAGGCTGGTCTCAAACTCCTGACCTCATGATCTGCCTGCCTCAGCCTCCCAAAGTGCTGGGATTACAGGCGTGAGCCACCACGCCGGGCCTAAAATCTTAATTAAAAGATATAATGGAAACATAGACAACATAAATAATATTGCCAAAAAATACAAACATAGGATTGGTAATCATGAAGACTATATTAGGCTAACACGAGAGAATGAAAAGTAAATGAAGCTTTGAATAATAGAGTAGGCATTCTGTATCTTTGATGGAAAAACTAAACATGGCAAAGATTGAATTTTTTTTTTTTTTTTGAGACATAGTCTTGCTCTGTCACCCAGGCTGGAGTGCAGTGGTGTGATCTCTGCTCACTGTAACCTCTGCCTCGTGGGCTCAAGCAGTTATCCTGCCTCAACCTCCCAAGTAGCTGGGATCACAGGCATGCGCCAACAAGCCTGGTTAATTTTTGTATTTTTAGTAGAGTCGGGGCTTCACCATGTTTGGCAGGCTGGTCTTAAACTTCTGACCTCAGGTGACCCGCCCACCTCAGCCTCCCAAAGTGATGGGATTACAGGTATGCACCACCGTGCCAGGCCAGATTGAATTTCTTTAAAAAATAATGTGTAATTTAATTTTGATTCCAATAATAATTTCAATTGGACTTTGTTTTTGTTTTTTTACTACTTAAAAAATTGACTTGAAAATATCCTACCAGGTAAACAGCAAGCATAAATTGCACAGATAAGTTTGGAGGAAAAGGTTCCTGTGATTAAAATGTTATTGTTAAAATAGTATGATAAGGAACAAGGATAGATAGATAATTTATTAAAACAAGATAGAGAGTTTTAAAACAGACTAGGTAGGATATTTGATAAAAGAAGCTTCATGTATCAATGAGGGGAGAAACGTATTATTCAGTGCAGCATTTCAGATATTGGCCTTTTAGAAAAAAATAAAAATAATTTCTCACTGAGTCAGGCATATCAATAGTATTCAATATTCTCATCTTCAAAATGAAAGGGTTAAGAGATCTCCAAGGATTTCTTATTCTGTTAGTCTCTGAACTAAAAATTGTAAGAAGTAAGAGTTATGAATAGAGTAGGAGGAGAAAAATCAGTCAGAAGAGAGAAAAAAGCTGAAGTTCCAGCAAATGCGCACATACACACACACACACACAGAAACCCTGCAGGTGAAAGTGGATTTATCCATGCAGAAAGGGATGGAAAAAGCCAAATGAAATGGGCATTCAATGTGCTTGCCAAATGCCAAATTAGGGTAACATGTGGTTTATAAACAGTAAACTCGAGCATTCAGCTTCCTTTTCTTTTCTTCTTGGTCCAATCTCTTTAGTTCTTTAAAGTCTCACCTTATGTTGCTACCTCGGTATAGAAAATGAGGGGTGGAGGAGAAAGATTGGACATAATTCAGATACTTTCAGTATGTTTTTGGTGGGTATAAATTTAAAATGCTTATTTTGTTGCACATCAAGCTGCTATTTAAGGCTTAAGGACAAAAAAAGTCAAAATACTGAAGGTTGAAGAAATGGTGTTCAATTTCCCTGGAATCGGGGGCTCAAACATTTCATCTTTGAGAATCTAGTTATTCACTCTGAATGAAAAAATTTTGGTGCAGTTGAAATCACTTTATGCAGTGAAATGCAAATTATGGGTGAACAAATTATAGCCTGCTGCTTTTGCCTGGTTTTGGACTATACCTAGCATCATGCATAATTTGTAGAAAAGTGTCTGCATAGAGAAACCAGGGAAAACCATTTAGCCATGTGCAAATCAGTTTACCCAGAGGAAGGCAATGAAAAGGAGAACACTGTTATCTCCTCACCAGCTTAATGCTGTTCCTGATGAAAATCGCCTGAGGTCACACAAGAAACGTGGTGTAGTAATTATGTGCACTCAAATAGCTTCCCATTGGAAAGAAATAATCCACACTGGTAACTGAATCAAGCAAAACAGGCATAAAATTAAGCAGATTCATTTTATTTCAACTGTAAATTTCAGCAACAGGGGAAGAAAGTGGATACTAGAATAAGTTAGAAGCAGCAGTTGGTGGTTCTGAAGCATCAGGTAATTCGACTCAGGGTGACTATTGTCTCCATTTTTAATTTTTAATTTTTATGGGTAAATAGTCCATATGTTTACGGGGTACATGTGATGATTTGATACAGGCACACTATTAAGGTAATTGGGGTAGTAATTATCTCAACCATTAATCATTTCTTTGTGGCAGGAATATTCCAATTCTACTCTTTTAGTTATTTAAAAATATACACTAAATTATTGTTGACTATAGTCACCCTATTGCGCTATCACATACCAGATATTTTTAATTCTATCTCATTATGTTTTCCTACCCATTAACCAGCCCTACTTTTCCCTCTACTCCCTGTTACCCTTCTCAGCCTCTGGTAACCATCATTCTACTGTATATCTCCATGAGTTCAATTGCTTTAATTTTTAGCACCCACATATGGGTGAGACATTGCAAAATTTGTCTTTCTGTGCCTAGCTTATTTCACTTAACTTAATGCCCTCCAGTTCCATCCATGCTGTTGCAAATGACAGGATTTCATGTTTTTATGGATGAATAATATTCCCTTCTGTATATGCACCACATCTTAAAAAATTCATTTATCTGTAGTTAGACAAGTAGGTTGATTCCAAATCTTGACTATTGTGAACAGTGCTTCAATAAACGTGGGAGTGCAGATATCTCTTCAATATACTGATTCTTTTCTTTGGGGTATATACCTAAAGGTGGGATCATATGCTGGTTCTATTTGTAGTTTTTTGAGAAAATTCCATACTTTTCTCCATAGTGGCTGTACTAATTTACATTCCCACCAATAGTGTATGAGGGTTCCTCTTTCTCCACATCCTCACAAGCACTTTTTATTGTCTATCTTTTGGATAAGAGCCATTTTAACTAGGGTTAGATGATATCTCATATTTTATTTGCATTTTTCTGATGATTAATAATGTTGAACATTTTTCATATACCTGTTGGCCATTTGTATGTCTTATTTTGAGAAATTTCTCTTCAGATCTTTGGCCTATTTTAAAATTGGATTATTAGATTTTTTTCCTATTGACTTGTTTGAGCTCCTTATATATTCTGGTTATCAAACTCTTGTCAGATGGATAGTTTGCAAATATTTTCTCCCATTCTGTGGATTGTCTCTTCACTTTGTTATTTCCTTGGCTGTGCAGAAGCCTTTTAACTTGATATAATCCCATTTGTTCATTTTTGCATTGGTTGCCTGTGCTTTTCAGGTATTATCAAGAATTCTTTGCCCAGACCAATGTTCTAGAGAGTTTCCCCAATTTTCTTAGAAGTTTTATAGTTTCAGGTCTCACATTTAAGTTTTTAATTCATTTTGATTTAATTTTTGTATATGGTGAGAGATAAGGGTCTCGTTTCATTCTTCTGCATATGGATATCCCATTTTCCAAGCACCATGTATTAAAGAAACTATTTCCCCAATGTATGTTCTTGACATCATTGTAAAAAATGAGTTCACTGGCTGGGCGTGGTGGCTCACTCCTGCAATCCCAGCACTTTGGGAGGCCGAGGCAGGCGGATCATGAGGTCAGGAGATTGAGACCATCCTGGCTAACATGGTGAAACCCCATCTCTACTAAAAATACAAAAATATTAGCCAGGCAGGGTGGTGGAGCCTGTAGTCCCAGCTACATGGGAGGCTGAGGCAGGAGAATGGTGGGAACCCAGGAGGCAGAGCTTGCAGTGAGCTGAAATCACGCCACTGCACTCCAGCCTGGGCAACAGAGCGAGACTCCGTCTCAAAAAAAAAATGAGTTCACTGTGGATGTATGGGTTAATTTCTGATTCTCTATTCTGTTCCATTGGTCTATATGTCTTTCTTTTAGGCCAGTATCATGCTGTTTTGGTTACTATAGCTCTGTAGTATAATTTGAAGTCAGGTAATTTGATTCCTCCAGTTTTCTTCTTTTTGTTCAGGATGGCTTTGTCTATTCTGGGTCTTTTGTGATTCCATGCAAATATTAGAATCATTTTTTTCTATTTCTGTGAAGAATGTTGTTGGTATTTTGATAGGGATTACATTGAATCTGTAGATTGCTTTGGGCAGTATGGATTAAATTGCTTTGGGCAGTATGGATTAAATCCATTTGGGCAGCAGCAAATGGATTAAAATGAAAAAAGAAAAGCCTGGAACCTGATGATAGCTTTACTGCTGAATTTTGCCAGACATTTAAAGAAGAACTAATACCAATCCTACTCAAACTATTCCAAAAAATTGAAGAGGAGGGAATACTTCCAAACACATTCTACAAGGCCAGTATTACCTTTATGCCAAAGCCAGACAAACACACAACAGAAAAAGAAAACTACAGGCCAATATCTCTGATTAATGTTGATGCAAAAATCCTCAACAAAATACTAGTAAATCAAATTCAACAACGAATTTAAAAAATCATTTAATATGACCAAATGAAATTTATTCCAGGAATGTAAGGATGGTTCACCATATGCAAATCAATCAGTGTGATACAACATATCAACAGAATGATACATCATATCAACAAAAACCATATGATAATTTCAAATAATTCTGAAAAAACATTCAATAAAAATCTACAACCTTCATGATAAAAAAACTCCCAAAAAGATTGGTAAAGAAGGAATGTATGTAAACATAATAAAGCCATATACAACAGTCTTACCATATGGGCAGTATGGATGTAACAATATTGATTCTTCCAACCCATAAACATAAAATATCTTTCCATTTCTTTGTGTACTCCTCAATTTCCTTCATCAGTATTTTACAGTTTTTATTATAGAGATCTTTTACTTCTTTGGTTAAGTTTATTTCTATGTATTTTATTTGTAGCAATTATAAATTGGGTTACATTCTTGATTTCTTTTTCAGATTGTTTGCTGTTGGCATATAGAAATGCTACTGTTTTTTGTATACTGATTTTGTATCCTGCAACTTTGCTGAATTTGTCAATCAGCTCTAATAATTTTTTGGTGGAGTCCTTAGGTTTTTCTAAATTATAAGATTATATCATCTGCGAACAAGAATAATTTGACTTTTCCTGTCCCAATCTGGATGCCATTTATTTCTTTCTCTTGTCTAATTGTTCTGTCTAGGACTTCCAGTGCTATGATGAATAATAGAAGTGAAAGTGGGCATCCTTATGTTCTTCTAGATCTTAGAGGAAAAGCTTTCAGTTTTTTCCCATTCAGAATGTTACTAGCTGTAAGACTGTTGTATATGGCTTTATTATGTTTACATACATTCCTTCCTTACCAATCTTTTTGGGAGTTTTTTTTTATCATGAAGGGTGTAGATTTTTATTGAATTTTTTTCAGAATTATTTGAAATTATCATATGGTTTTTGTTGATATGATGTATCATTCTGTTGATATGTTGTATCACACTGATTGATTTGCATATGGTGAACCATCCTTACATTCCTGGAATAAATTTCATTTGGTCATATTAAATGATTTTTTAAATTCGTTGTTGAATTTGATTTACTAGTATTTTGTTGAGGATTTTTGCATCAACATTAATCAGAGATATTGGCCTGTAGTTTTCTTTTTCTGTTGTGTGTTTGTCTGGCTTTGGCATAAAGGTAATACTGGCCTTGTAGAATGTGATTGGAAGTATTCCCTCCTCTTCAATTTTTTGGAATAGTTTGAGTAGGATTGGTATTAGTTCTTCTTTAAATGTCTGGCAAAATTCAGCAGTAAAGCTATCATCAGGTTCCAGGCTTTTCTTTTTTCATTTTAATCCATTTGCTGCTGCCAGAAAATTTAATTTCATTTTTAGTTAGTAGGCCACTGACTAGTTTAGTGCGTAGACTTCATGTTTCCATGGTTCTTTAGTTTGTTTAATTGTCTCAAAGTGGTAACCAATAAAAGTTTCCAAATTTAAAACCTTTCATTTGTAAATGGATTTCTATGAAACTTGTAAGTACAAAATCTCAGAAAGATACAATTAAATTATACTACATGATATCTACATGTCACAGAATCATGATCAGAAGTTTTCACTCCTGCTCCCAAATAAAATGTTGGCCTGACAGATATTTTCAAGTAAAATACTTGGCTATTCTTGAATCTGTAAGAACATGAGTCTTTTAAATTACAGCATCTGAACAAAAAATTCAGGGAAAAAGAAATAAATAGGCCCTTGACTATGGCCTGCCAGAATCCAGTTTGGAGATAAAAAGGGCTTAATTTGGAGGCACAGATAACATTGTACTATTAATTTCCTAGACTACTTGCCTAACTTTGATTTGTCTCATCCAAGAAATGACTGAGAAGGGAAAGTGTATAGTATTATCTAGTCTTTTGTTTAACTTTTACCTGTTTCTTCATGGAATTAAATGATAAAAGAGAAACAAAAATAGGTTCTTAAATTAAGCATCAAGACTAAAGATAGATATTTAAGACACATTTTAATGATTAATTGTGAAATCACCCTTCAAAAGATGGAAAAGAAATTTTGAAACAATTCTTGGCTTGGTCAGGAAGACAATTAGTGTCTTCAGTTAAAACTATGATAATAGTGTTGTCACCAAAATGGTGGAATAGGGAGCCCTAGGCCTTGTTCCCCAATAGAGACAGCAACTTAACAACAATATATGGAACAAATTACCTTTTTTGGAACTCCAGAAACAACTTATGTTGCAGCACCCCAGGTAAATCCAAAGCCAAGAAGAGCTGTATTGAAGTGGATAAGAAAGTGTATTATATTTACTTGTGATACCCCCTTCAACTAGTGTGCACAGCACAGTATGCTCAAGAGAGAATTTGGAATATCAGAAACATAAAGTGGGAGGCAAGACGTAAAAGAAGTAGAGTTTTTGCATGTGATTGAAGTTGTTACCAGTTTAAAATATATTGTTGAAACTTTAAGATGTTTTATGTGATCCCCATGGTAACCACAAAGAGAACAGCTTGTGAATGTACACAAAAGAAAATGTGATCCTTTCAGTAACCACAAAGAAAATAGCTAATGAAAATACACAAAAGAAAATGAAAAAGAAATCAAGGCATATACTACCAAAAAGAAAATCAATGAAACAAAAAGGAAGGATGCCAGAGAGAGAGAGGTACAAAATAGCTACAAGGCATACAAAAACACAATGAATAAAATGTCAATAGCAGTTCTTCCATATTAGTAATATCTTTCATGTAAATAGACTAGTTTCCCCAATAAAAAGACAGGTTGGCTGAATGGATTAAAAAATTCTACTATATGCTGTGTACAAGAGACTCACTTTAAATCTAAGGAGACATATAAGGTGAAAGTAAAAGAATAGAAAAGATACTCCCTGCAAATTGTAACAAAAAGAGAGTATACAAAAACAGAGTATAGGTGGCTACATCTATACCAGAAAAAAAATAGTCATTAAGTAAAAAATATCACAAGGTACAAAGAACAATATATAATAACCTGGTCCATTTACCAGGAAAATATAATAATTATAAATATATACACACCTAACGTCAGTGTTCTCAAATATGTGAAGCAGACATTGACAAGATTCAAGGGAGAAATAAACAGCATACAATAATAGTAGGATTCAATACTCCACTTTCAATAATGGGTAGAACAGCCAGCAGAAGATCAATAATGGGACAGAGGACATGAATAACATCATAGACCAAATGGACCAAATACACATCCATACAACATTTCACCCAACAATGGCAGAATACACATTCTTCTCAAGCACAGTTGGAACATTCTGCGAGAAAGACCACATACTAGACCACTAAACAAGTCTTAACAGTTTTAAGCAGATTGAAATAATATCAAGTATTTTTCCCAGTACAATAGAATGAAACTAGAAATCAATAGCAGAAGAAAAACTGGAAAATTCATGAATATGCAGAATTTAATCAACACGCTCTTAAATAACCAATGAATCAAAGAAGGAATCACAAGGAAAATTGCAAAATAATTTGTAAAAAAGAAACAAAAATACAACACACTAAAACTTACAGAAGCAGCAAAAGCAATACTAAGAGAGAATTTTATAGTGGAATATGCCATAAAAAAAAGAAAGGCCTCTTGGCAGGGCGCGGTGTCTCATGCCTGTAATCCCAGCACTTTGGGAGGCTGAGGTGGGCGGATCACAAGTTCAGGAGATTGAGACCATCCTGGCTAACACGACGAAACCCCGTCTCTACTAAAAACACAAAATATTAGCCTGGCATGGTGGCGGGTGCCTGGAGTTCCCACTACAGGAGGCTGAGGCAGGAGTATGGTGTGAACCCGGGAGGCAGAGCTTGCAGTGAGCTGAGATGGCACCACTGCACTCCAGCCTGGGCAACAGAGTGAGACTCCGTCTCAAAAAAAAGAAAAGAAAGGTCTCAAATCAACAAGTTAATTTTATACACAAAGGAACCAGTAAAAGAGAACAAACTAAATCCAAAGTTAGCAGAAGGAAGAATATAAAGATTAGAGTAAGAATAAATGGAATAAAGAATAACTTTTATAAAAGTTAGATTTAAAAAATAACAACAAAATTGAAAATCCTTTAGCTATATTAAGAAAAAGAGAGAATACTCAAATAACTAAAATCAGAAATGAATGCCTCATTCATTTTTTATCAGATATTATAACTGATGCCACAGAAATAGAAAGGATTATAAGGGACTACTAAGAACAATTATAAGCCAACGAGTTAGGCAAACTAGAAGAAATGGGTGAATTCGTGGTAAGATACAACCTACCAAGATGGAATCATGAAGAAATAAAGAAATCTGAACAGATGTGTAACTAGTAAGGAGAATAAATCAGTATTCAAAAATCTCCCAACAAAAAATGGACCAGACCCAAATGATTTCACTGGAGAATCTACCAAACATTTAAAGAAAAATTAATAATTATCCTTAACCTCTTCCAAAAAAATCACAGAGAGAAAACACTTCTAAACTTATTTTATAAGGGCAACATTACCCTGATACCAAACCTAGACAAAGATACAAGAAAACTATAGATTATTACACCTGATGAATATTAATGAAAAATCCTCAACAAAATATTTGCAAACTGAATTTAACAGTACATTCAAAGAACTATATATTGTGACCAGGTTTTATTCCTCCTAATGCAAGGATAGTTCAATATATGAAAATCAGTGTAATACATTGCATTAACAGAATAAAAGACAAAAAGCACACAATCATCTTAATTGATTCAGAAAAAGCATGTGACAAAATTGAACACCCTTTCATGACAAAATTAAGAAACGAAGAGTAGAAAAAAATTACCTCAACATAATAAATGTTATGTGTGGGTTTGAATAAGTATGTATGTATATGTATAGATATACACATAAATGTTATATAAATATAATATGTGTGCACACATACAGGGCTAACACCATACTCAATGATGAAAACCTGAAAACTTTCCCTAAGATCAAGAACAAGGCGGGGCAGTTCCAAGATGGCCGAATAGGAACAGCTCCAGTCTAAGCTCCCAGCGTAAGTGATGGAGAAGATGGGTGATTTCTGCATTTCCAACTGAGGTACTGGCTTCATCTCACTGGGGCTTGTCAGATAGTGGGGGCAGGACAGTGGGTGCAGCCCACTGAGCATGAGCTGAAGCAGGGCAAGGCGTCGCCTCACCTGGGAAGCACAAGGGGTCAGGGAATTCCCTTTCCTAGCCAAGGGAAGCAGTGACAGAAGGCACCTGGAAAATTGGGTCACTCCCACCCTAATACTGCACTTTTCCAATGGTCTTAGCAAACAGCACACCAGGAGATTATATCCCGTGCATGGCTCGGAGGGTCCCATGCCCACGGAGCCTCACTTATTGCTAGCACAGCAGTCTGAGATTGAACTGCAAGGCGGCAGTGAGGCTGGGGAAGGGGCACCTGCCATTGCTGAGGCTTGAGTAGGTAAACAAAGTGGCCTGGAAGCTCGAACTGTGTGGAGCCCACAACAGCTCAAGGAGGCCTGCCTGCCTCTGTAGACTCCACCTCTGGGGACAGGGCATAGCTGAACAAAAGGCAGCAGAAACCTCTGCAGACTTAAATGTCCCTGTCTGACAGCTTTGAGGAGAGTAGTGGTTCTCCCAGCATGGAGTTTGAGATCTGAGAACAGATAGACTGCCTCCTCAAGTGGGTCCCTGACCCCTGAGTAGCCTAACTGGGAGGCACCATCCAGTAGGGGCAGACTGACACCTTACACGGCCAGGTACCACACTGAGATGAAGCTTCCAGAAGAGCAATCAGGCAGCAAGATTTGCTGTTCAGCAATATTCACTGTTCTGCAGCCTCCGCTGCTGATACCCAGGCAAACAGGGGCTGGAGTGGACCTCCAGCAAACTCCAACAGACCTGCAGCTGAGAGTCCTGCCTGTTAGAAGGAAAACTAACAAACAGAAAGGACATCCACACCAAAACCCCATCTGTACGTCACCATCATCAAAGACCAAAGGTAGATAAAACCACAAAGATGGGGAAAAAACAGGGCAGAAAAGCTGAAAATTCTAAAAATCAGAGTGCCTCTCCCCTTCCAAAGGAATGCAGCTCCTCTCCAGCAATGGAACTAAGCTGGACAGACAATGACTTTGACAAGAGAAGAAAGCTTCAGATGATCAAACTTCTCCAAGCTAAAGGAGGAAGTTTGAACCCATCGCAAAGAAGCTAAAAACCTTGAAAAAAGATTAGACGAATGGCTGACTAGAATAACCAGTGTAGAGAAGACCTTAAAGGACCTGATGGACTGAAAACCGTGGCACAAGAACTACGTGACGAATGCACAAGCTTCAGTAGCCGATTCGATCAGTGGTTGAAGATCAGATGAATGAAATGAAGTGAGAAGAGAAGTTTAGAGAAAAAAGAGTAAAAAGAAACGAACAAAGCCTCCAAGAAATATGGGACTATGTGAAAAGACCAAATCTATGTCTGATTGGTGTACCTGAAAGTGACGGGGAGAAATGGAACCAAGTTGGAAAACACTTTGCAGGATATTATCCAGGAGAACTTTCCCAAGCTAGCAAGGCAGGCCAACATTCAAATTCAGGAAATACAGAGAATGCCACAAAGATACTCCTTGAGAAGAGCAACTCCAAGACACATAACTGTCAGATTCATCAAAGTTGAAATGAAGGAAAAAATGTCAAGGGCAGCCAGAGAGAAAGGTCAGGTTACCCACAAAGGGAAGCCCATCAAACTAACAGAGGATCTCTCGGCAGAAACTCTACAAGCCAGAAGAGAGTGGGGGCCAATATTCAACATTCTTAAAGAAAAGAATTTTCAACCCAGAGTTTCATATCCAGCCAAACTAAGCTTCATAAGAGAAGGAGAAATAAAATCCTTTACAGACCAGCAAATTCTGAGAGATTTTTGTCACTACCAGGCCTGCCCTACAAGAGCTCTTGAAAGAAGCACTAAACATGGAAAGGAAAAACCGGTACAAGTCACTGCAAAAATATGCCAGATTGTAAAGGCCATCGATGCTAGGAAGAAACTGCATCAACTAATGAGCAAACTAACCAGCTAACATCATAATGACAGGATCAAATTCACACATAACAATATTAACGTTAAATGTAAATGGGCTAAACGCTCCAATTAAAAGACACAGACTGGCAAATTGGATAAAGAGTCAAGACCCATCAGTGTGCTGTATTCAGGAGACCCATCTCACGTGCAGAGACACACATAGGCTCAAAATAAAGGGATGGAGGAAGATCTACCAAGAAAATGGAAAACAGAAAAAGGCAGGGATTGTGATCTTAGTCTCTGATAAAACAGACTTTAAACCAACAAAAATCAGAAGAGACAAAGAAGGCCATTACATAATGGTAAAGGGATCAATTCAACAAGAAGAGCTAACTATCCTAAATATATATGCACCCAATAAAAGAACACCCAGATTCATAAAGCAAGTCCTTAGAGACCTACAAAGAGACTTAGACTCCCATGCAATAATAATGGCAGACATTAATACCCCACTGTCAACATTAGACAGATCAATGAGACAGAAAGTTAACAAGGATATCCAGGAATTGAATGCAGCTCTGCACCAAGCAGACTTAATAGACATCTACAGAACTCTCCACCCCAAATCAACAGAATATACATTCTTCTCAGCACCACATCACACTTATTCCAAAACTGACCACATAGTTGGAAGTAAAGCACTCCTCAGCAAATGTAAAAGAACAGAAATTATAACAAACTGTCTCTCAGACCACAGTGCAGTCAAACTAGAACTCAGGATTAAGAAACTCAATCAAAACCACTCAACTACATGGAAACTGAAGAACCTGCTCCTGAATGACTACTGGCTACATAATGAAATGAAGGCAGAAATAAACATGTTCTTTGAAACCAGCGAGAACAAAGACACAACATACCAGAATCTCTGGGACACATTTAAAGCAGTGTGGAGAGGGAAATGTATAGCATTAAATGCTCATAAGAGAAAACAGAAAAGATCTAAAATTGACACCCTAACACCACAATTAAAAGAACTACAGAAGCAAGAGCAAACACATTCAAAAGCTAGCAGAAGGCAAGAAATAACTAAGATCAGAGCAGAACTGAAGGAAATAGAGACACAAAAAACCCTTCAAAAATCAATGAATCCAGGAGCTGGTTTTTTGAAATGATCCACAAAATTGATAGACTGCTAGCAAGACTAATAAAGAAGAAAAGAGAGAAGAATTAGATGCAATAAAAAATGATAAAGGGGATATCACCACTGATCCCACAGAAATACAAACTACCATCAGAGAATACTATAAACACCTCTATGCAAATAAGCTAGAAAATCTAGAAGAAATGGATAAATTCCTGGACACATACACCCTCCCAAGACTAAACCAGGAAGAAGTTGAATCCCTGAATAGACCAATAACAGGCTCTGAAATTGAGGCAATAATTAATAGCCTACCAACCAAAAGATGTCCAGGACCAGATGGATTCACAGCCGAATTCTACCAGAGGTACAAGGAGGAGCTGGTACCATTCCTTCTGAAACTATTCCAATCAACAGAAAAAGAGGGAATCCTTCCTAACTCATTTTATGAGGCCAGCATCTTCCTGATACCAAAGCCTGGCAGAGACACAACAACAACAAAAAAGAGCATTTGAGACCAATATCCCTGATGAACATTGATGCAAAAATCTTCAATAAAATACTGGCAAACTGAACCCAGCAGCACATCAAAAAGCTTATCCACCATGATCAAGTGGGCTTCATCCCTGGGATGCAAGGCTAGTTCAACATACACGAATTAATAAACGTAATCCAGCATATAAACAGAACCAAAGACAAAAAACCACATGATTATCTCAATAGATGCAGAAACGGCCTTCGACAAAATTCAACAGCCCTTCATGCTAAAAACTCTCAATAAATTAGGTATTGATGGGATGTATCTCAAAATAGTAAGAGCTATCTATGACAAACCCACAGCCAATATCATACTGAATGGGCAAAAACTGGAAGCATTCCCTTTGAAAACTGGCACAAGACAGGGATGCCCTCTCTCACTGCTCCTATTCAACACAGTGCTGGAAGTTCTGGCCAGGGCAATAAGGCAGGAGAAAGAAATAAAGGGTATTCAATTAGGAAAAGAGGAAGTCAAATTGTCCCTGTTTGCAGATGACATGATTGTATATTTAGAAAACCCCATCATCTCAGCCAAAAATCTCCTTAAGCTGATAAGCAACTTCAGCAAAGTCTCAGGATACAAAATCAATGAGCAAAAATCACAAGCATTCTTACACACCAATAACAGACAAACAGAGAGCCAAATCATGAGTGAACACCCATTCACAATTGCTTCCAAAGAGAATAAAATACTAGGAATCCAACTTACAAGGGATGTGAAGGACCTCTTCAAGGAGAATTACAAACCACTGCTCAACGAAATAAAAGAGGACACAAACAAATGGAAGAACATTCCATGCTCATGGATAGGAAGAATCAATATCATGAAAATGGCCATACTGCCCAAGGTAATTTATATATTCAATGTCATCCCCATCAAGCTACCAATGACTTTCTTCACAGAATTCGAAAAAACTACTTTAAAGTTCATAGGAACCAAAAAAGGGCCCACATTGCCAAGACAATCCTAAGCCAAAAGAACAAAGCTGGAGGCATCACGCTACCTGACTTCAAACTATACTACAAGGCTATAGTAACCAAAACAGCATGGTACTGTTACCGAAACAGAGATACAGACCAATGGAACAGAACAGAGCCCTCAGAAATAATACCACACATCTACAACCATCTGATCTTTGACAAACCTGACAAAAACAAGAAATGGGGAAAGGATTCCCTATTTAACAAATGGTGCTGGGAAAACCGGCTAGCCATATGTAGAAAGCTGAAACTGGGTCCCTTCCTTACACCTTATACAAAAATTAATTCAAGATGTATTAAAGACTTAAATGTTGGACCTAAAAACATAAAAACCCTAGAAGAAAACCTAGGCAATACCATTCAGGACATAGGCATGGGCAAGGACTTCATGTCTAAAACACCAAAAGCAATGGCAACAAAAGCCAAAATTGACAAATAGGATCTAATTAAACTAAAGAGCTTGGGCACAGCAAAAGAAACTACCATCAGAGTGAACAGGCAACCTACAGAATGGGAGAAAATTTTTGCAATCTACTCATCTGACAAAGGGCTAATATCCAGAATCTACAAAGAACTCAAACAAATTTACAAGAAAAAAACAAACAACCCCATCAAAAAGTGGGCAAAGGATATGAACAGACACTTCTCAAAAGAAGACATTTATGCAGCCAACAGACACATGAAAAAATGCTCATCATCACTGGCCATCAGAGAAATGCAAATCAAAACCACAATGAGATACCATCGCACACCAGTTACAATGGCGATCATTAAAAAGTCAGGAAACAACAGGTGCTTGAGAGGATGTGGAGAAATAGGAATGCTTTTACACTGTGGGTGGGACTGTAAACTAGATCAACCATTGTGGAAGACAGTGTGGCAATTCCTCAAGGATCTATAACTAGAAATACCATTTGACCCAGCCATCCCATTACTGGGTATATACCCAAAAGATTATAAATCACACTCCTATAAAGACACATGCACATGTATGTTTATTGCAGCACTATTCACAATGGCAAAGACTTGGAACCAACCAAAATGTCAATCAATGATAGACTGGATTAAGAAAATGTGGCACATATACACCATGGAATACTATGCAGCCATAAAAAAGGATGAGTTCATGTCCTTTGTAGGGACATGGATGAAGCTGGAAACCATCATTCTGAGCAAACTATCGCAAGGATAAAAAACCAAACACTGCATGTTCTCACTCATAGGTGGGAATTGAACAATCAGAACACTTGGACACAGGAAGGGGAACATCACACACTGGGGCCTGTTGTTGGGTGGGGGGAGGGATAGCATTAGGAGATAAACCTAATGTAAATGATGAGTTAATGTGTGCAGCACACCAACATGGCACATGTATACATAGGTATCAAATTTGCACATTGTGCACATGTACTCTAGAACTTAAAAGTATAATAATAATAAAAAAAAAAGAAAAAGAACAAGGCAAGAATGTCCATACTGACCACTTCTTTTTTTTTTTTTTTTTTTTTGAGACGGAGTCTCGCTCTGTTCCCCAGGCTGGGGTGCAGGGGCACGATCTCGGCTCACTGCAAGCTCCGCCTCCCGGGTTCAGCCATTCTTCTGCCTCAGCCTCCTGAGTAGCTGGGACTACAGGCGCCCGCCACCATGCCCGGCTAATTTTTTTTTTTTTTTGTATTTTTTTAGTAGAGACGGGGTTTCACCGTGTTAGCCAGGATGGTCTCGATCTCCTGACCTCGTGATCCTCCTGCCTTGGCCTCCCAAAGTGCTGGGATTACAGGCGTGAACCACCACGCCTGGCCCATACTGACCACTTCTATTCAACATAGTAGTGACAGTCTTAGCCTGGGAAATTAGATATGAGAAAGAAATAACAGCTATCCAAAATGGAAAGCAAGAAGTAAAATGATCTCTGTTTACAGATGACATAATCTTATTGTAGAAAGCACTAAAAACTGTTAGAACTAATAAATTCAACAAAATTTTATAATCCAAAGTGAACAAAAAGTAATTGCATATTTATACACTAACAGTCAGTAATCCAAAAACGCATTTAAGAAAACAATCCCATCAAGAACTTATAAAAGCATAAACAATAGTAACAAGAAGAATAAGATACTTTGGAATAAACTTAACCAAGGATGGGAAAACCTTGCACACTGAAAACTACGAAACAGGCTGGGTGCAGTGGCTCACACCTGTAATCCCAGCACTTTGGGAGGCCAAGGTGGGTGGATTGCTTGAGTCCAGGAGTTCAAGACCAAGTTGGGCAACATGGCGAAACCCCCTCTCTACTAAAAATACAAAAAATAGCCAGGCATGGTGGCACGTGCCTGTAGTCCCAGTTACTTGAGAGGCTGAGGTGGGAGAATCACCTGAGCTCAGGAGGTCGAGGCTGCAGTGAGCCGAGATCATGCCACTGCACTCCAGCCTGGGCAAACAGAGTGAGACCCTGTCTCAACAAAACAAAACAAAACACAGCAAAACACAAAAAACCTACAAGACATTGCTGAAAGAAATTAAAGAGACATAAATAAATAGAAAGACATCCTGTACTCATGAATTGAAAGACTTAGTGTTAAGATATCCATGTACCCAAAGTGATTTACTGATTCAATGCAATTCTTAACAAAATGCAAATGACTTTTTTGCAGAAATGGAATAAAACCATTCTATAATTTACATAGAATCTCAAGGGACCCTGCATAGCCAAAACAATCTTAAAAAAGAAGAATGAAGTTAGAGTGCTCACACTTTTGATTTTAAGAATATTTTGAAGCTACAGTAATTAAAGACAGTGTAACACTGGCATAAAGACACATATACAGACCAATGAAACAGAACAGGAAGTTCAGAATTAAACTCTCACATACATGATCTTCAACAAGGGTACCAAGACAAAACAATGGGGAAAGGACAGTCTCTTCAATAATTGATGTTGTAAACACTAGATATCCACATGCAAAAGAATGAAGTTGAAACTTAACCTTACATCATATATAAAAATTAACTTAAAATTGATTAAAGACCTAGACATGAGACCTACAACTGTAAAATGACTAGGAGAAAAGTGTAAGAAAAGCTTCATGACACTGAATTTGGTAATGATTTCTTGAATATGATACCAAAAGAATAGGAAACAAAAGAAAAAGGTAGACAAATAGGACTACATCAAACTTAAAAATTTTTGCACATCAAAGAAACAGTGACAAAGCAACCTGTGAAATGAGAGAAAATATTTGCAAATTATATCTAAAAGGGGTTAATATCCAGAATACTTGTCTATAGAGAACCACTACAAGTCAACAACAAAAGACAATCTGTTAAAAAAATGGGCCAAGAACTTGAATAGACATTCCTCCCAAGAAGAAGTATAAACATTAAAAAAATGTTCAGTGCCTTTAATCAAATTAAAACTACAATGAGCGATCGCCTACCCATCAGGATGGTCACTACAAAAAAAGACCAAGCAAAACATATTGGAAGGATGAGAAGAAACTGGAACCCTTTTACACTGTTGGTAGGAATGAAAAAATGGTGCAGCTGCTATGGAAAAATGATCTGAGGTTCCCCAAATAATTAAAAATAGAACTACTATATGATCCAGGAATCTCACTTCTGGGTATGTATGCAAAAGAACTAAAATAATTATGTCAAAGAGTTATCTGCATACCCATGTTAACTGCAGCATTATTCACAAAAGTCAAGAGTTGGAAGCAACCCAAATGTCTATTAAAAGATGAATAAAGAAAATGTGGAATATACATATAATGGAATACTATTTGACCTTAACAAAGAAGAAAATTCTGTCACATGCTACAACATGAATGAACCTTGAGGATATTGTACTAAGTGAAATAAGCCAATCACAAAAAGACAAGTATTGTATGATTACATTTATAGGAGGTTTCAAAAATAGACAAACTCATAGAAACAGAAACTACAATGGTGATTGCCAGAGACTGGGGACATGGAGAAATGGGGAGACGTTGTTTAACTGGTTTAGTTTCAGGTTTGCAAGATTAAAAAGTTCTGGAGATTTGTTACACAACACTGTGCATACAGTGAACGCTACTGAACTGTGCACTTAAAAAGTGGTTGAAATGGTAAATTTCTTATGTGTTTTAAAATATATATATATTTTTTAATTTTTAATTTTTTTTTAATTTTTTTGAGACAGAGTCTCACTCTGTTGCCTGGGCTGGAGTGCAGTGGCGTGATCTCGGCTCACTGCAAGCTCTGCCTCCTGGGTTCACGCCATTCTCCTGCCTCAGCCTCCTGAGCAGCTGGGACTACAGGTGCCCGCCACCAGGCCCAGCTAATTTTTTTGTAGTTTTTAGTAGAGATGGGGTTTTTCACCGTGTTAGCCAGGCTGGTCTCGAACTCCCGACCTCAGGTGATCCGCCCACCTCGGCCTCCCAAAGTGCTGGGATTACCGCGTGAGCCACCACGCCTGGCCTGTATGTGTTTTTAAAATCACAATGAGAAATTAAAAAATAAAATGAAAATAAGAAATGCTTAGCATATAAGAAAGTGAAGCATCGAAGCCCACGAAGATACAGCGAGTTTGCTTACTCCCAGCTTGTCTGGCACTGTCCAGATCTTACTGCCGATAGCCCTGCACCCTGAGTATAACCTCAGTCCCAGGCACACCAGGTGTTTGGATATTCTATATGAAAACCAGAGCATTTAAAGAAATGGTGTAAACAGAATAAAGGTATTTTGTTGAAAGTAAAGTATAATGCTATCCTTACTTGGTAATCCCATTGCCTTTAAAGTGAAGCATATTACTGGGATGTAAACCTGTATTTTTCTCTCTTGGCTCTTTAACAGATTCTCCAGATCTGTCTTATTTATATTTCCTTCAAAATACTTCTGTGATTTCTATCTTTTCTTGTTTCCAAGCCACACTTCAGCTTCATTCCTTATGCACAGGAGAGCCTGTTCTTGGTTTCTTTTCTTCCAGGTTCTGATTTTTAATCTGCCCAAATTGTAACTGGGACATTTATTGACAAAAAGAAATTTGAACATGTAACAGCCTTTTTTTTCCTTCTAATTTTTAAGTGGTTTCTAATTAGGTAATTTCCTGAAGATTAAAGTTCTTAAAGTCTCTGATTTATTAGTTCATCATTCTTAATTTTTTCAGTTTTCTATCATTGTCTAGTAGAGTATGTCCAGTTGATAGGATATCTGAGGACATATTATCTCTCCATCAATTTATTTCTGTATTACACACACTTTCTCTCCATTCTCTTCTTCAGACCTTCTGCACCACCTCCCCTCAACAGTTGTAACAAATAAAAATGTCTCCAGACATTGCTGAATGTCCCGAGGCGGCAAAATTTCCCCTGGTTGAGCACAGCTGATAGAAATAATGCCCAAATTTCAAGATTTTTTCCAAAGTGGTCTTCATATTCAATTCCCAAACGTGTACTTAACATTGTTCTTTCTGAAAAGAGTACTTTCCCCATTTTCTCTACCTGGAGAGAACTCCAGGAAGCTGAGACCGGCCAGACCACAGAGCTTGACCCAGGTTCCACACATTTTTCATGTGCAAATTGGGAAGCACGATGAGATATCTCTCTTGCCTGTCATTATGATTTTTTTTTAAGTGAAAAATAGGCTGGGCGCCGTGGCTCACACCTGTAATCCCAGCACTTTGGGAGGCCGAGGCGGGCGGATCACGAGATAAGGAGATGAGACCATCCTGGCTAACACGGTGAAACCCCGTCTCTACTACAAAATACAAAAAATTAGCCGGGCGTGGTGGCGGCCGCCTGTAGTCCCAGCTACTCGGGAGGCTGAGGCAGGAGAATGGCGTGAACCCGGGAGGCGGAGCTTGCAGTGAGCCGAGATCGCGCCACTGCACTACAGCCTGGGCGGCAGAGCCAGACTCCATCTCAAGAAAAAAAAAAAGTGAAAAATAAAAATCCTGGTTTCTGGGGAATCAATCACTCATATAGTGCTGTTGTTAACATAAATATCCAAATCTTCACAGAGGAACAGAGGACAATATGACAATAAGCACTACATTTTCAAGTGTCTTTTATACCCATTGAAAATTTGGTAGAAATTAGATATCTAGGAATTTCCCCTAACAGAGTAAATATACAGACCGTGTGCGGTGGTTCACGCCTGTAATCCCAGCACTTTGGGAGACCAAGGCGGGTAGGTCACGAGGTCAGGAGATCAAGACCATCCTGGCTAACATGGTGAAACCCCGTCTCTACTAAAAATGCAAAAACAAAATTAGACGGGCGTGGTGGTGGGCGCCTGTAGTCCCAGCTACTCAGGAGGCTGAGGCAGGAGAATGGCGTGAACTCGGGAGGCAGAGCTTGCAGTGAGCCGAGATCGCGCCATTGCACTCCAGCCTGGGCGACAGAGCAAGACTACGACTCAAAAAAAAAAAAAAAAAGAAACAAAAGATGTCAAGTCCTTAGTCATTATAAAAATGATGCTTAATCATTTTCTTGGATTTTGCAGATGAATTGGTGAATAGCTTTGTGACAGACCTTTGTTCAAGATCCATTCAAGGATAGAAGACAATTGCATTGAATGGTTGAATAGGGAGATTTCTCAGGAGAATGTTGCTGGGTGCGGTTGAATATTTACTCTCCCACATCCTTGCCTGGCAGGAGGGCCTGTAAGGAGGCTATTCTATGAGCTTGTATCATCTCCCTGGATTCTAGGAGCAAATTAAGAAGCAAATGTTGGACCTCTGCCTGTGAAAACCACAGGTCCAAGACACTGAGAGGAACCAGGAACCACGGTAAGAAGAGAGGAAAGTGGTGTGGGTGCCTACACTTTCATCATTTGCATGACAAGGGGGTCCCATGAGTCAAGTACAGTCTAGGAGGTAATTGAGGTGGAGCTGTGCAGAAGGGACCCTGACCAAGAGTTGAGGGGCACCAGCGGAGAGGCTGTGGGTTGCACCTCCAGGGGCGGATGCTGGAAGTGGTGCCTGAAAGGAGTCAGCAGGGAGAGCCACATTGCTTGTATCTTGAGACATAACTGGGTGTGCAAAATGGGAAATCACTGTGGATCTCTCAGTAGGAATCTTTCAGGGATAGAGCCGGTTGTGAACATTCTGTAACATCAGATTAAATAGGGCCTTTTCGGCCGGGCGCGGTGGCTCACGCCTGTAATCCCAGCACTTTGGGAGGCCGAGGCGGGCGGATCACGAGGTCAGGAGATCGAGACCATCCCGGCTAAAACGGTGAAACCCCGTCTCTACTAAAAATACAAAAAATTAGCCGGGCGTAGTGGCGGGCGCCTGTAGTCCCAGCTACTTGGGAGGCTGAGGCAGGAGAATGGCGTGAACCCGGGAGGTGGAGCTTGCAGTGAGCCGAGATTGCGCCACTGCACTCCAGCCTGGGCGACAGAGCGAGACTCCGTCTCAAAAAAAAAAAATAAAATAAATAAATAAATAGGGCCTTTTCTGTTCTTCATCTCTCTTTCATGCCTTTCTTCCCCCAGATAGACATACTCAGTGAGCTTTCTTCCCAGTTTGAAGCAGGTCTGAGGTGGAGAAGTAGAGAAAATCAAAGTTTTGACTATTGCATGGAAGTGGACATCCTAATTATTGAAATAATACTGTTGTGGCCAGGGCTGATGTTTAGCTGAGATGTACTGGTGTGGTTGCACTGGTTATTAAAATATTAAAATACTTTAATATTGGTTGGTAAACAGTCCTGATCCTAGGCCCCTTGAGGGCCTCCCCTTGGCCCTGGAAACCCTGTGGGCACTGCTATTCCTTCTTCCCACCCCCTCCACACACTTCCTATCCCTGAGACCAGTGTCCCCGGCGGTGAGGCTGACGCTCCAGTGGGCTGTACCCAATGTCTCTGGTTTTGCAGCCGGGCTTCCTGGGATTGTCCTCATGTGATCCTTATGGGAACAGCAACTTCCTCAATTGTCACCTCTTTTAAATGTCACCCAAGATCTGTTATGAACTGGCTCAAGTTTTATGCAAAAGAGTCTCCCAAAATCGGCCTCAAAAGCACTTTTGTTAGGACATTTTTGAGAAAAAAATATATGATGCTTTATGATTTTATTCTACTTTTTCAATGTCACATTTACAAATGTTTATAATTAAGTTAAAAGGGTGAGGCAGAAAACCAGGCAACTCTGTACTGATTTTTGTAATATAATCTGTCTCAAAATATACCATTAGAAGTTTAAATATTTAAATAGTTATAACCATTTCTAGGGGATGGTAACATGGCTAACTTTTAGACTTTTATTTATTAGTTTTTTTTTTTTAGACGGAATCTCGCTCTGTTGCCCAGGCTGGAGTGCAGTGGTGTGACCTCAGCTCACTGCAAGCTCTGCCTCCCAGGTTTACGCCATTCTCCTGCCTCAGCCTCCCAAGTAGTTGGGACTACAGGTGCCTGCCACCACACCCATCTAATTTTGTTTTTGTATTTTTAGTAGAGACGGGGTTTCACTGTGTTAGCCAGGATGGTATCGATCTCCTGACCTCGTGATCCACCCGCCTCGGCCTCCCAAAGTGCTGGGATTACAGGTGTGAGCCACCACGCCTGGCCCTGGCCAGTATTTCTTAAGTTTCATTAAAAAAAAAAAAAAAAAAAAAAAAAATATATATATATATATATATATATATATATAGTACTCTTTTGACTATTACTATTTTGAATGAGAGGAATAAAATAATACATGCAACTAAATGGGATTTTGTATTTTTCCTTCACATACATTGACCTACGTTTAAAATGTAAGCCTCTCACCCTCCTGACAACTCCATATCCCCACCCCCTGCTCTATGTGGTCAGAGTTGGTGCATCCCAATGCCTTGAATAGGGTCTGACACATTTGCTGTTGGAATCACTTGAATCATTTCACTTAGCAGGAACATAGTAAAGTATAAATGATGCTGAGGTATAGCTCCCCAAGGAGGAGGACACAGAACAGGTTCTCTGTGGGGACAGGAGGAGGGACTGGCCCTGTGTACCCACTGCCTCCCCACGGCTTCCTCAACTTTTGCTTGATTTTTCCTCAATCAGGAACATGACATCACATTCATCCAGACCTTGAACCTACCTTATTAGGTTTATTCCTAGGTATTTTCTTGTTTTTCTGACATGCAAATATAATCTTTTTCCTTATTTCAATTTTCTGGTTGATTATTTCCATCATAAAGGAAAGTTGCTCTGTAAAATTTACCTGTTTCTAGCCACGCGATAAAATTTTCTTATTAGTTTCAATGGTGACTGTATACACACACACACACACACACACACACACACACACACACTTTAAGTTCTGAGATACATATGCAGAACGTGCAGGTTTGTTACATAGGTGTACACGTGCTATGGTGGTTTGCTGCACCCATCACCCCATCATCAACATTAGGTATTTCTCCTAATGCTATCCTTCCCCTAGGCCCCCACCCCCACCGACAGGCCCTAGTGTGTGATGTTGCCCTCCCTGTGTCCATGTGTTCTCATTGTTCGACTCCCACTTAATGACTGAGAACATGGGGTGTTTCATTTTCTGTTCCTGGGTAAGTTTGCTGAGAATGATGGTTTCTAGCTTCATCCATGTCCCTGAAAAGGATGTGAACTCATCCTTTTTTATGACTGCATAGTATTCCATGGTGTATATGTACCACATTTTCTTTATCCAGTCTGTCACTGATGGGCATTTGGGTTGGTTCCAAGTCTTTGCTATTGTGAACAGTGCTGCAATAAACATACATTTCCATGTGTCTTTATAGTAGAATGATTTATAATCCTTTGGGTTATATACCCAGTAATGGTATTGCTGGGTCAAATGGTATTTCTGGTTCTAGATCCTTGAGGAATCGCTACACTGTCTTCCACAATGGTTGAACTAATTCACACTTCTACCCACAGTGTAAAAGCATCCCTATTTCTCCACATCCTCTCCAGCATCTGTGGTTTCCTGACTTTTTAATGATTGCCATTCTAGCTGGCAATCTCTTTGTGGTTTTGGTATCTCATTGTGGTTTTGATTTGCATTTCTCTAATGACCAGTGATGATGAGCTTTTTTTCATATGTTTTTTGGCCACATAAATGTCTTCTTTTGAGAAGTGTCTGTTCATATCCTTTGCCCACTTTTTGATGGATGGGGTTTTTTATTTTTACTTGTAAATTTCTTTAAGTTCCTTGTAGATTCTGGATATTAGCCCTTTGTCAGAAGGATAGATTGCAAAAATTTTCTCCCATTCTGTAGGTTGCCTGTTCAGTCTGATGACAGTTTCCTTTGCTATGCAGAAGCTCTTTAGTTTAATTAAATCTCATTTGTCAGTTTTGGCTTTTGTTGCCATTGCTTTTGGTGTTTTAGTCATGAAGTCTTTGCTCATGCCTATGTTGTGAATGGTATTGCCTAGGTTTTCTTCTAGGGTTTTTAGGGTTTTTATGGTTTTAGGTCTAACATTTAAGTCTTTAATCCATCTTGAGTTAATTTTTGTATAAGGTGTAAGGAAGGGATCCAGTTTCAGTTTTTTTGCATATGGCTAGCCAGTTTTCCCAACACCATTTATTAAATAGGGAATCCTTTCCCCATTGCTTGTTTTTGTCAGGTTTGTCAAAAATCAGATGGTTGTAGATGTGTGGCATTATTTCTGAGGCTTCTGTTCTGTTCCATTGGTCTATATATCTGTTTTGGTACCAGTAAATGGTTACTTTTTTTAAAAAGCAAACTCTTTCGAATTTTGTATGTTTATAATACAGCAAATAATTTTGTCTTGCTTTTAGAAAAAAATTGAGGTAAAATTCACGTAACATAAAGTTAACCATTTTACAGTGAACAATTCGGTGACACTGAGCATATTTACAATGTTATAGAAGTACCACCTCTGTTTAGTTTCAAAATATTTTCATCACTGCAAAATAAAACCATGTAAGCAGTCAAATCCCACCTGTCCTCTCCTCCTGTCTCTGTCAACCACCGATCTGTTTTATGGGTTTACCTATCCTGGATATTTCATATAAATGAAATTATACAATAACCCTGTATAATTTTTTGTGGGCCTGACTTCTTTCATTTAGCATAATGTTTTTGAGGTTCATTCATGTTATAGCATTTATCAGTACTCCACTTCTTTTTATGGCTGCATAATATTCCACTATATGTGTATATCATAATTTGTTTATACATTCCTCTGTTGACGGACATCTGGGTTGTTTCCAACTTTTGGCTGTTTTGAATAGAGCTCTTTTGAACATGTATGTACATGTATTTGTTTGAGAACTCGTTTTCATTTCTTTGGGGTATATACCTAGGAGTGAAATTGCTGAGTCATATAGTAATTCTATGTTCAACTTTTTGACCACTGCCAAACTGTTTTCCGCAAACATCATCATCACTAGCCATGTATGATTTACTCCACATCTTCACCAACACTTGGTGTTTAATATTTTTTTTTTAATTATAGCCATCCTGGTAGTGAAGTGGTATCTCATCGTGGTTTTGATTTGTATTTCTCTAATAACTAATAATATTGAACATCTTTTCATGTGCTTGTTGGCCATTTGTAGATCTTCTTTGGAGAAATACCTATATAAACTCTTTGACCATTTGATTTTAATTGAGTTGTTTGTCTTTCTATTGTTGAGTAGTTAAAGTTCTTTATATAGACACATCATTTAGAGATTTGCAATTTTTTTCTCCCATTCTGTAGGCTATTTTTAAACTTTCCTAATAATATCATTTGGTGTACAAAAGTTTTAAATTTTGATGGAGCCCAATTTATATATTTCTTAATTTGTTGTTCATGCTTTTGGGGTCATGTCTAAGAACATGTATGTACCTAATCTGTATCTGAGAACCTAATCTCAGATTCAAGATCAGGAAGATTTAACCATAGGTTTTCTTCTAAGAGTTTTGTAGATTTAGCTCTTGCATTTAGGTCTTTGATACATTTTGAGTTAGTTTTTCTATATGGTATGAAATAAGGGTTCAACTTCATTCTTTTGCACGTGGCTATTTGGTTGTCTAAGCACTATTTGTTGAAGAGACTATTCTTTCCCCATTGAATGGTCTTTGCACCCCGTCAAAAATTAATCACCACAAATGAATGGGCTTATTTCTGGAATCACAATTCTATTTTCTCATCTATATGTTTATCCATAAGGATAAACAGTGCCACACTGTTTTGATTATTGTTAACTTTGTAATAAGTTTTGAAATTAGAAAGCGTGAGTCCTCCAACTTTACTCTTCTTTTTCAATAATACTGTCTTAGCTGTTCGAGATCTTTTGCAATTCCTTACATATTTGATAATTAGCTTTTCAATTTCTGCAAAAAGGCTATTCAAATTTTGACATAGATTGTATTGAAACTAGATCTGTTTAAGTATTGCCATTGTGGCAATATAAGTCTTCCAATCCATGAACACAAGGCATATTTCCATTTATTTAGGTATTCTTTAATTTCTTTCAGCAATGGTTTGTAGTTTTCATTGTGTAATACTTTCACTTCCTTGATAATATTTAATTTGAGGTTTTTAAAATCATTTTTATGCTATTATAAATGGAATTGTCTTAATTTAGTTTTTAAATTATTCACTGCACCTTTCTAAGAACACATGTGATTTTTGTGTTCAGCTGTACCTTTGCTGAATTTGTTTATTAGCTGTAGTAGTGGATTCTTTGGGATTTTCTATATCTAGGTTTATCAGTGAATAGAGATCTTTTGATGCTTCTTATTTATTTTTCATTTCTGATTTCTCTGGCTAAAACTTCCAGTACAATGTTAAATGAAAGTGGTAAAAGGGGTCCTCCTTGTTTTGTTCCTGACCTTAGGGGAAAGTTTTAGTCTTTAACCAGTGAATATGATTTTGACTATGGGTTTTTCATAAATGCCCTTATTTTATGTTAAGGAATTCCCCTTCAATTTCTAATTTTATATGAGGATTTTTTTTTTCTTTTGAGACGAAGTCTAGCTTTGTCGCCCAGGTTGGAGTACAGTGACTCGATCTTGGCTTACTGCAACCTCCGCGTCTCGGGTTCAAGTGATTCTTCTGCCTCAGCCTCCTGAGTAGCTGGGACTACAGGCACCTGCCACCAAGCCCAGCTCATTTTTTTTTTTTTTTTTTTTTTTTTAGTACAGACGGGGTTTCACCATGTTGACCAGCCTGGTCTCAAACTCCTGACCTCATGATCCACCCACCTCCGGCTCCCAAAGTGCTGGGATTACAGATGTGAGCCACCATGCCCGGCCTGAGGATTTTTATCATGAAAGTGTGGCAGATTTTGTTGAATGCATTTTCTGCAGTTGAGATGATCCTGAATTTCTCCTCGCCCCCACACACCTTTATCCTATTAATGTCATATAATACATTGGGTTTCTAATGTTGGACCATCCTTGCTTTCCTGGGCTGAATTCCACTTAGATATGGTATAAAATCCTTTTAATATGCTGTTGGATTTTATTTGCTAGCATTTTGTTGTGGATTTTTGCATCTTTATTCATAAGGGTTATTGGTCTGTAGCTTTCTTTTCTTGGAATATCTTTCCCTGGTTTTCATATCAGGGTAATGCTGTCCTTATAGAATAAATTAGAAAGTGTTCCCTCCTTTTCAATTTTTTGGAAAAGCTTGAGAAGGATAGATATTAATTGTTTTTTAATTTGTATTTTTATTTCAATAGTTTTGGAGGTACGGGTAGTTTTTGCTTACATGGATAAGTTCTTTGGTGGTAATTTCTGAGATTTTGGTGTACCTGTCACCTGAGCAGTGTACACTGTACCCAACATGTAGTCTTTTATCACTTATGCCTCTCCCACTCTTCCCCTGAGTCCCCAAAGTCCATTATATCATTCTTATGTATTTGCATCCTCATATCTTAGCTCCCACTTATAAGGGAGAACATATGATATTTGGTTTTCCATTCTTGAGTTACTTCACTTAAAATAATGGCCCCCAACTCCACCCAAGTTGCTGCAAAAGACATTATTTTATTTCTTTTTATGTCTGAGTTGTATTCCATGGTGTATATATACTACATTTTCTTTATTCACTCATTGGTTGATGGGCACTTAGGTTGATTCCATATCTTTGCAACTGCAAATTGTGCTGCTATCAACATGCATGTGTGTGCATGTATCTTTTTTCATATAGTGACTTATTTCCCTTTGGGTACTTACCCAATAGCAGGATTGCTGGATCGAATGGTAGTTCTACTTTTGGTCCTTTAAAACTGTTTTCTGGCCTGGCGCAGTGGCTCACGCCTGTAATCCCAGCACTTTGGGAGGCCTAGGCAGGCAGATCACGAGGTCAGGAGATCAAGACCATCATGGCTAACACGGTGAAACCCTGTCTCTACTAAAAAATACAAAAAATTAGCCGGGCATGGTGGCGGGTGCCTGTAGTCCCAGCTACTCGGGAGGCTGAGGCAGGAGAATGGCGTGAACCCTGGGAGGTGGAGCTTGCAGTGAGCCAACATGGTGCCACTGCAGTCTAGCCTGGGCAACAGAGCAAGACTCTGTCTCAAAAAATAAATAAATAAATAAAATAAAAAACCAAAAAAAAAAATCTGTGTTTTCCGCAGTGGAAAACTAGTTTTTCCATACTGTTTTCCATAGTGGTTGTACTAGTTTACATTCCTACCAGCAGTGTAGATGTGTTACCTTTCCACCACATCCACGCCAACATCTATTGTATTTTGACTTTTTAATTATGGCCATTCTTGCAAGAGAAAGGTGATATCTCATTGTGGTTTTAATTTGTATTTCCCTGATAATTAGTGATGTTGAGCATTTTTTTCACTTTGTTGGATGTTTGTATATTTTCTTTTGACAATTGTCTATTCATGTCCTTTGCCCACTTTTTCATGGAACTATTATTATTTTTTACTGTTGATTTGTTTGAGTTCTTGTAGATTTTGGATATCAGTCCTTTGTCAAATGCATAATTTGCAAATACTTTCTCCCAATCTGTAGGTTGTCTGTTTACTCTGCTGATTATTTCTTTTACTTTGTAGTAGAAGCTTTTTAGTTTAATTAGGTGTCATGTATTTATTTTTGTTTTTGTTGCATTGCTTTTGGGGTCATAGTCAAGAATTCTTTGCCTAAGCCAATGTCTAGAAGACTTTTTCTGATGTTATCTTCTAAAATTTTTATGGCTTCAGGTCTTAGATTTAAGTCTAAGTTTTCTTAGATTTAAGCCATTTTGAGTTGACTTTTGTATAAGTGAGAGATGAGGATTCAGTTTCATTCTTCTATGTGTGGCTTCCCAGTTTTCCCAGCACCACTTATTGAATAGAGTGTCCTTTCCCCAATTTATGTTTTTGTTTGTGTTGTTGAAGATCAGTTGGCTGTAAGTATGTTGGCTTTATTTATGTGTTCTCTGTTCTATTCCATTGGTCTATGTGCTTACTTTTATACCAGTACCATGCTGTTTTGGTGACTTTAGCCTTGTAGTATAATTTGAAGTTGGGTAATGTGATGCCTCCAGATTTGTTCTTTTTGCTTAGTATTGCTTTGGCTATGCAGGTTCTTTTTTGGTTCCATATGAATTTCAGGATTGCTTTTTCTGGTTCTATAAAGAATGATGATGGTATTTTGTTGGGAATTGCATTGAATCTGTAGATTGCTTTGGACAGTATGGTCATTTTCACAATATTTATTCTACCCATCTGTGAGTGTGGGATGTGTTTCCATTTGTTTGTGTCATCTATGAATCTTTCAGTAGTGTTTTGTAGTTTTCCTTGTAGAGATCTTTCACCTCCTTGGTTAAATATATTTGTAAGTATTTTGTTTTACTTTTGAAGTTGTAAAAGGGATTGAATTCTTTTTTTTTTTTTTTTTTTTGAGATGGAGTCTCATTCTGTCGCCCAGGCTGGAGTGCAATGGTGCAATCTTAGCTCACTGCAACCTCTGCCTCCCAGGTTCAAGTGATTCTCTTGCCTTAGCCTCCTGAGTAAGTGGGATTACAGGTGCCCACCAATGTGCCCGGCTAATTTTTGTATTTTTAGTAAAGAGTGGGTTTTTCCATGTTGGCCAGGCTGGTTTCGAACTCATGACCTTAGGTGATCTACCTGCCTCAGCCTCCCAAAGTGCTGAGGATTGCAGACATGAGCCACCATGCCTGGCTGAATTGAATTCTTAATTTGATTCTTAGCTTGGTCACTGTTGGTGTATAGCAGTGTTACTGATTTATGTACATTTATTTTGTATCCTGAGACTTTATTGAATTCATTTGTTAGGTCTAGGAGCTTTTCAGATGAGTCTTTAAGGTTTTCTAGGTATAGAATTATATCAGCAGTGAACAGCAACAGTTTGACTTCCTCTTTTCCAGTTTGGATGCCCTTTATTTCTTTCTCTTGTCTGATTTCTCTGGCCAGCACTTCCAGTACTGTGTTAAGTAGAAGCAGTAAAAGTGGGCATCCTTGTCTTGTTCCAGTTCTCAGGGGGAATGCTTTCAGCTTTTCCCTATTCAGTATGATGTTGCATATGGGTTTGTCATATATGGCTTTTATTACTTTAAGATATGTCCCTTCTATGCTTATTTTGTGGAAGGTTTTTATTATAAAGGAATGCTGGATTTATATATAATGATAAAAGGATTAGTCAAACAGGAAGATATTATGATCCTAAATTTATATGCACCTAACACTGGAGCTTCCAAATTTATAAAACAATTACTACTAGACCTAAGAAATGAGATAAACAGCAGTACAAATATAGTGGGGGACTTCAATACTCCACTGACAGCACTAGACAGGTCATCAAGACAGAAAGTCAACAAAGAAATAATGGACTTAAACTAAACCCTAGAAGAAATGGACTTAACAGATAATTGCAAAACATTCTTCCCAACAACTGCAGGATATACATTTTTTTTTCATCAGCACATGGAACGTTCTCCAAGATAACCTATGATAGGTTACAAAACAAGTCCCAACAAATTTAACGAAATTGAAATCATATCAAGTATTTTCTCAGACCATAGTGGAATAAAACTGGAAAGCAACTCCGGAAAGAACACTTAAAATGATATAAATACATGGAAATTACATAATCTGTTCTTGAATGATTTGGTGGTTAACAATGAAATCAAGATAGGAATTAAAAATTCTTTGAAATGAATGAGAACAATGGCACAACTTATCAAAACTTCTGGGATACAGCAAAACTGGTGCTAAGAGGAAAGTTTATAGCATTAAATGCCTACGTCAAAAAGTCTGAAAGAACACAAATAGAAAACCTAATGTCATACCTGAAGGAACTAGAGAAACAAGAACAAACTAAACTGAAACTCAGCAGAAGAAAAGAAATAACAAAGATGGAAGAGAACTAAATGAAATTGAAACAAAAAATACAAAAGATAAATGAAATGAAAAGCTGGTTCTTTGAAATGATAAACAAAGTTGATGACCATTAGGGAGATTAACCAAGAAGAGAAAAGATTCATATAACCTCAAGTAGAAATGAAACTGGAGATAGTACAACCAATACCACAGAAATACACAAGATCGTTCAAGGATATTATAAACACCTTTACATGCACAGACTAGAAAGTCTAGAGGAGATGAATAAACTGCTGGAAATATACAACCCTCCTAGACTAAATCAGGAAGAAATAGAAACCCTGAACAGACCAATAACAAGCAGCAAGATTGATCAGTGATTAAAAAAACAAAACAAAACACTGCCAACAAAAAAAGAATCGAGAACCAGATGGATTAACAGTTGAAATCTATCAGACATTCAAAGAAGAACTGGTTATCAATCCTACTGAAACTATTCCAAAAGATAGAGAAAGAGGGAATCCTCCATAAATCAGTCTAGGAAGCCAGTATCACCCTAATACCAAAAGGAGGAGAGGACATAACAAAGCAAACAAACTACAAACCAATATCCCTGAACATAGATGCAAAAATCCCCAACAAAATACTAGCTAACTGAATCCAACAGCATATGAAAAAGATAATGCATCATGATCAAGTGGGTTTTATATCAGGGATGCAAGGATGGTTTAACATACACAAGTCAATAAATGTGATACATCACATAAACAAAATTAAACAAAAACTATACGATTATATCAATAGGTGTGAATCCCTCTTTAAATGTTTGGTAGAGTTAATCAGAGAAGCTATCTGGTCCTGAAATTTTTTGTTGTTGGTGGTAAGTTTTAATTACTGATTGAATTACTTCACTTGTTATAGGTCTATTCAGATTTTCTATTCTCGAGTCAATTTTGATAGATTGTGTGTTTCTAGGAATTTGCTAATTTCATCTAGGTTATCTAACTTGTTGGCATAAAATAGTTTGTAATTTTTTTTTTTTTTTTGAGACGGAGTCTTGCTCTGTCACCCAGGCTGGAGTGCAGTGGCGCAATCTCGGCTCACTGCAGCCTCTGCCTCCCAAGTTCAAGCGATTCTCCTGCCTCAGCCTCCCAAGTAACTGGGATTACAGGCACCTGCCACCACAACTGGCTAATTTTTGTACTTTCAGTAGAAGCGGGGTTTCACCATGTTGGCCAGGCTGGTCTCAAACTCCTGACCTCAGGTGATCTGCCTGCCTTGGCCTCCCAAAGTGCTGGGATTACAGGCGTGAGCCACCACACCTGGCCTGAGCAATGATTTGACTACATTCATAATTTGGGTATATCATGTTTTCATTTTCATTTGGCTCAAAATATTTTCTAATATCCCTTATAACTTTTTATTTGACCTATAGGCTGCTTAAAATTGTGTTAATTTCTACATATTTGTAAATTTTCCAGTTTTTCTTCTGTTATTGATTTTTAGTTTCATTCTGTATTTGTCAGAGAAGATAATTTACATAACTTTATCTTTTTACATTTATTGAAACTTGTTTTATGGCCTACCCTGACACATGATCCACGTGCTTTGTGTATTTTGCAATTGTTTGGTGGAGTATTTTCTTTTTTTTTTCTTTTTGAGACGTAGTATTGCTCTGTCGCCCAGGCTGGAGTGCAGTGCCGCAGATCTCGGCTTCCTGCAAGCTCCGCCTCCCGGGTTCACGCCATTCTCCTGCCTCAGACTCCAAAGTAGCTGGGACTACAGGTGCCCGCCACCACACCTGGCTAATTTTTTTCTTGTATTCTTTAGTAGAGACGGGGTTTCACCGTGTTAGCCAGGATGGTCTTGATGTCCTGACCTCGTGATCAGCCCGCCTCGGCCTCCCAAAGTGCTGGGATTACAGGCGTGAGCCACCGCGCCTGGCCTCGTGGAGTATTTTCTATATGTCTGTTAGGTCTTGTTGATTTACAGTGTTTTTCAAGTCCTCTATTTCTTTATTGATCTTCTGTCTAGATGTTCTATCTGTTATTGAAAGTGACTGTTTGAGTCCATTTAGTGTTGCTGTAACAGACTACCTGTGACTAGGTAATTTATAAAGAGAAGAGGTTTATTTGGCCCATGATTCTGGTGACTTGAAGGTTCAAGATTGAGCAGCTGCACCTAGTGAGGGCCTCCCTCATGCTGCTTCCACTCATGGCAGAAAGTGGATGGGGTGTGGGCGTGTGCAAAGAGATCACGTGGTGAAAAAGAAAGCAAGAGAGAGAGAGATACACCCACTGACCCAAACACCTCCCAGTGGGCTCCTCCGTTTAGCAGTGTTACATGGAGGATCAAGTTTCCACATGAGCTTTGGCAAGGCCAGACCACATTCAAGTGATATGGGGCATATAATTTGCCAAATGCAGTGGGGTATTGAAGTCTCCAACAATTATTGTAGTACTATCTACTTCTTCCTTCAAGTCTATCGATGTTTGTTTCATGTATTTTGGAGTTCTGATTTTTGGTGTCTATACAGTTATAAGTATTTTATATTCTTGATAAATTTATGAGTTATCAATATATAATGACCTTAATTCATTTCTTGTAACAATTTTTGACTTTGTTTATTTTTGCTTTGTGTATCTACTATAAGTTTTTATTTTGTAGTTACCATTAGGCTTACATAAAACCTCTTATAATGGACTGTTTATATTTGGTAACAACTTAACTTTGATCACATAGAAAAGAGTCTCCACTTTTACTCCATCCCCTTGCCCCCAATTTATGCTTTGATGTCATAATTTATATTTTTAATTGTATATCCCTTAGCAAATTATTATAGCTATTATTTTTAATACATATTTATTTAATCTTCATACTAAAGACACAGATGATTTACTTACCATCACTGCAGTATTAGAATATTCTGAATTTGACTGTGTACTTACTTTTAGCAGTGAGTTTTATACTTTCTCATGTTTCCATGACACCAATGAGCATTCTTTTCTTTCTTTCAGCCTGAAGAGCTTCCTTTAGGATTTCTTGTGAGACAAGTCAGCTTTTATTTGTCTGGAAAAGTCTTTATCTCACTTTTATTTGTGAAGAACTGCTTTGGCAGGTACAGTATTCTTAGTTGGCAGATTTTTTTCTTTGAGGCTTTGAATATATCATCTTGCTCTCTCCTGCCATGTAAGGTTTTTGCTAAGAAATATACTGCTAGCCTTATTGGAACTCTCATATATGTGATTTATTTCTATTCTCTTGCTGCTTTTAGGATTCTCTCTTTGTCTTTGATTTTTGATAGTTTGATTATAATACATTTTGTTATAGTCTTGTTTGGATAGAATCTGATTGGAGACATTTGGTCCTTATACCTTGATATTATTCCCCAGGTTTAAGAATTTTTTAGTGATTATTTCTTTAAACAATGTTGTCCTAGGGGCTGGGTGTGTGGGTGTTGGCCTGGAGGCTAGGACCATTAGGGTTGACCTTTGTCTGGGGGCTCCAGGTGCTGGCCTGAAACCTGAGTCTACAGGGGTCATCTTGGAGCCTGGGTCCATGGGGGCTAATCCAGTGCTGGAGTCTGCCAGGAAGAAACTGGGCTGTGGGTCTGCTGTAATGTGTGGCTGCAGGGGAAAATATGAAGAGTGGGTCTGTGGGTGCCTGTTTGGAGATGAGAGCTGTAGCAGTTGGCCTGGTTCTTGGGTAGGTCTGAATCCTGGGACCATGGGGACCAGCCTGGTGCTGCAAGCAGTCCAGAGCCTTTGGCTGCCTGGCCCTGGGGTGGGCCTAGAGCCTGAGTCTGTGGGGGATAGCCTGGAGTTGGGGTTTGTCCAAAGTCTGGGGCTACTGATCAGCTACAGTCGGGCTGCTACTCCAACTGTCCTTTCTATCTCTTTAGTGCATCCTTTCTGAAATCTCCTACCTGGTTTCCTTAGTTCTTGTGAAGGTGGTTTTATGCATGGATAGTTGTTCCAATTGATGTTTCTGCAGGGGAGCAAGAGCTAGAAAGTCCTATTCACCATCTTCCTTACAGCCTTCTGCCCCAAGGCTGCAGTACTCTTCAATCACATGTTTTATGTTACCTCTTTCTTTTCTCCAGCCATTTGGAAATAATTACCAAGAGCTACTTTTTTCGGCCAGGTATGCAATTTTTGTGAACCAATGCTGTTCTAACTGATTCTAACTCAAGAGGCGAGAAAAGCCCAGATGCCCCTAATTGGATCCATGGTTGTACTGTGCTGTATTTCCAGGACTTGTGCAAAGTTTAATACTATTACTCATCAGTTTTATTTTACCTCCTATTTTTCTCATTCTTTGCATGGATTTACGGAGGCACTTTCCTGACTTTTTCATTGTGGGCTGTGTTGTAGTCACCTTGGATCGATCTCTGGCCCTTTGGTCATTGTGTGCTTTGAGTCTGCATGGTGAGTCCCAGTTTTATTTCATGCATGAGCTTCATTGACAGAAAATCATTATACCTTATTTCCTTGCTTCATGCTTGGAAGATGTGGATTTGGCCTTCATATTCCTGACTGGATACTTTAAATGAGTCAGATGCATCTGCTTTAAATAGGTATTGACTAAGGACAAGTAAGGGAATAATCTGTAAAACTCAACCCAAAAGGAAGTCTTTCTTCTTGCTAGAGGCATATTATTTATTTGGATAGATTAAGATTTTCCTCTACATGTTTAAGAAGTTAATCTCAATTTGGATGTGATTAGTAATAAGAATTTCAAATCTATATTTCACTTGAGTTTCTTGCAGTGTAATTATGTTTGTTGTCTGTTTGGGAATACTAAAACAATCATTTTATTGTAGTATATTTAATACTTTTACCATATTTCTTCTTACTTAAACCAATACATATAAATAACAACCATGAGAATCTCAAGCATATTTGAAATATTTTAATATCATTATGAAAGTAGAAAGATAAAATTAGAGTGCTCCAAAAATATTTAAAAATTCTAGTCCAATATCCTCATTTAGAGAAAGAAACCGAGGCCCAGAAATGTAAAAGCAAGTGAATAAAATTAGTGGTATGGCCAGAATTAGGTACTTTGTTCATGAAAATATTTAGTCATTTTTGAGGTGAGTTAGGACTGGCAGGGCACAGAGGGACACTGTTGTCATAAAACTATGAAGGACCTACCAAGGAAAAAATACCTCTAGGGGTCTCTGTTTATTGAGTTCTAAAAAAATACCCATACTATATTTGGTTGGCTAATAACATATAAATGGATTTTAATTGGTAAGTGTTTGGGGCATTTCTTTTTCTCTGTTCTTTCCCTTCCTTCTCCACACATCTATCCCAAGGCACGGGCATTTTATTTTGCATTTTGGACCTGCTGTCTGTTTGACAGTGTCCTCTTTTGATTTATTTATTATTGTTGTTTGCAAAGAAGAGGGAAATTTTGAAGCATGAACTTGCTGTGCTACCTTGATTTGGAGGTCTCCTGGCCCAGTGTGGAAAAAGTTAAAATCATCTGACATATGTTTATATATATTTAAGCATCTCAGTTGGCTTCATTTGTGCAATGAGGTCCCAAGATCCACTCAAACTCCTACTTACATACAGGAAAGAAAAACATCTGCTGCTTTGACTAAAAGTTCCTCCTGGCCTTCGCTGTGAAACTCAGGTGAAACCTCCAGCCAACAGAATTGTAACAGAGTCATTCTATTACACCAAGAAGCCTGTGAGCTCACAGGGGGAGGAAATACTGCAGCAGGATATGCAGTTGGGAGGATCTTCCTGCCCACAAGAAAATACAAAAAAAGTGGAATTAATCATCTTCGTCTTTTCACAGAATTTGCTAAGAAATTAAATTCAAATTAACACACTCATAGTTTTTGCCTACCATGTTCAAAACACTCCTGGTGCTTATGAGAGACGTGGTCTTTTAGAGGGCACAGTTACCATAAGGCAGCCACACCAGCAGGCTGGGTACTTACATTAATGATAAACCTATTATGCTCTTTCCCCATGAAAACAGATCTGGACCCTCACCTCCCCCCCTACCGCTGTCACAGGCTCCTGGAATTTCCCTCTCTCACCCCTACCCTTCACCACTTTTGTGAATGTTCCTCAATCTGACTCCATCTTCCATCAGTCTTCTCCTCTTCAAACCCTTTCTCTGTGCTCTGTGGAATTCCTGATCAGTATAGTTTCCATATAGACATCCTTTACTTAAACCTTCTCTCCCATTTCTTGCCTTAATTGAAAATTGGCCTCTCTCTAGTCATCATCCCCCCTCCAATTCCATAGGCCTCATTACGACTTCCAAATCATTTCTTCTTTTTCTACCCTTGAAAAGCCTGGCACCTCTGATGTTTGTACCACTTACCAGTGTCACAATATTACCATATTACCCTCTTTGTGTTAGAGCTTCCCAGAGAAACAAAGCCAATAGGACACACACACACACGCACACACACGCACACACATACACACACACAAGTGTATTTATAATTAAATAAGAAATATATACATATGACGGCCAGGCGCGGTGGCTCACGCCTGTAATCCCAGCACTTTGGGAGGCCAAGGAGGGCAGATCACGAGGTCAGGAGATCGAGACCATCCTGGCTAACATGGTGAAACCCTCTGTCTACTAAAAATACAAAAAAAATTAGCCGGACATGGTGGTGGGCGCCTGTAGTCCCAGCTACTTGGGAGGCTGAGGCAGGAGAATGGCGTGAACCCGGGAGGCAGAGCTTGCAGTGAGCCGAGATCACACCACTGCACTCCAGCCTGGGCGACAGAGAGAGACTCCATCTCGGAAAAAAAAAAAAAAAAAAAGAAAGATATATATGTGACAAAGTTCTCATTTCTATAATTTGTCTTGTGGCTGTAGTTAGTGTTTATAATTAGCTTCTTCCTTTAACAGTTCAGTATTGCTGTTTCCTCCGGTAAGCCCTCTAGCACTACATGGCTCTTTGCTTTACGTGGTGGCCCAAACCTTCATTCCTGAAGGGTCTAGGCCATGAGTGTTCCTGCCTGGATTGGTTTGTTGTAGTTTTCCATCAACCTTAACCACCAGGCATGATAATATTGAAAGGTGCCTCGAGGGACCTCCTATGTTCCAGACATACTCTTCTTTATCTCCATTGTGGAATAGTAGTCCAATTTTCTCTTGGTAGTCAGGATTAATCACCCCAACCAGCACAATAACTCCCTTCTTTGCCAGTTGATTCAGAGGCATGAATAACCCAAAGTGGCCAGGTGACATTCTTAACCTCCAGTTCAGTAGAGTCGTTGTTGCGTCTCCTGGTGGGAGCATTCATCCCTCTGTTACTATAACCTCTAGGTAGTTACTATATCCTCTATAGTAGAGCATAAGATTGTGAAAACAGGAAGTCAACATTTGCTACTGAGTTGCTAGGGGTAATGGTGAGTGGTTTTCCAACACAATGAAGTCTTAGGCAGTATACCACTCCGAAATCACTTGATCAGAGATTTCCAGCACTCACTGGGGGCATTTCTGAAATTGTGGAGGCTGAGAATCTTCTGTCTTGTGTCTGTAAGACAGAGACCCAGGAAAGCTGGTGGTATAGTTCCAGTCTGAGTCCGAAAGCCTGAGAATCAGGAGCACTGATGGTGTAAGTCTGAGTTCAAGGACAGAAACCAAGCAATGTCCTGGATCGAGCAGTCAGGCAGGGAAAGGCAGAGACAGAATTCTCACTTCCTCTGACATTTTTGTTCTATTCAAGTCCTCAGTGGATTGGATGGGGCCCACTCACATTGAGGAGGGCAATCTGCCTTACTCAGTACGCCAATTAAAAAGTTAATGAGATATATACCTCTTTTGAAAACACCCTCACAGACATGCCCAGAAATGTTTAACCCACTATCTGGGCATCCTGTGGCCCAGTCAAGTTGACACATGACAGTAACCGTCACACTCATCCTCCTCCCTTCGATCTGCTTTCTCACTGCCCCTCAGTGACTGGAGCCGTTAGCACCTCTCTGCTTCAGCTCTCATCTCATCTCTCAAAGCCACGTTTAAAATGTTACTGTATACATTACATGTCTTTGTGAAAATCAGTATGCTGAGCTATGGAGAAAAAAAGTATTTCAGAGAAGTGTGAAACAAACTGTGAAATTTAAAATTTAAAACATTACATGAATTGTGGATTATCAGAATTCACTTAAAATATTTCCATAGGTAAAAGAGAATGCTTGATTATGTCACATTTAAATACTGTTCTTTAGTTTTTATTTTAATCGGGACAATTTACATTAAGCACTGGTAAAGCAATTTCAAAATTTCTGTAGGTTAAAACAACAAAGGGGCTAGGCGCAGTGACTCATGCCTGTAATCCCAGCACTTTGGGAGGCCGAGGCGGGTAGATCATGAGGTCAGGAGTTTGAGACCAGCCTGGCCAACATGGTGAAACTCCTTCTCACTAAAAATACAAAAATTAGCCGGGTGTGGTGGCGGGTGCCTGTAATCCCAGCTACTTGGAAGGCTGAGGCAGGAAAATTGCTTGAACCTGGGAAACAGAGGTTGCAGTGAGCTGAGATTGTGCTGCTGCACTCTAGCCTGGGTGACAGAGCAAGACTCCGTCTCAAAAAAAAAAAAAAGAAAAAAAAAAGGATTATTTCTCATTCATGCTAGATGTCCAGTGAGGGTGGATGGGGAGCTCTGTTTCACACTGACACTCAGGAGTCTAGGCTGACAACGGCTCCATCCTCTTGTCACTGCTTCTGGTGGAATTTATGGCCTTTCTGGTTGCTGCAGCAGGAGAAAGAGAACAGAGAACCACACTGGGACTTTGACAGCATTGGCCTCACTTTTGCTCACATTTCATTGATCAGAACTAGTCATGAGGCCCTGCCTAATGTTAAGGGCTGGGAAATGCAGGCTTGCCTATGCACAAGCATCACTACTGCCCAGCAGAGTCTTTTTTTTTTTTTTTTTTTTTTTTAAGACAGAGTCTCCCTCTGTCACCCAGGCTGGAGTGCAGTGGTGCCATCTCAGCTCACTGCAAGCTACACCTCCTGAGTTCATGCCATTCTCCTGCCTCAGCCTCCCAAGTAGCCCGCCACCACACCCGGCTAATTTTGTTTTTGTATTTTTTTTAGTAGAGATGGGGTTTCACCGTGTTAGCCAGGATGGTCTCCATCTCCTAACCTCATGATCCGCCTGCCTTGGCCTCCCAAAGTGCTGGGATTGCAGGCGTGAGCCACCACGCCCAGCCTGCCCAGCACAGTCTTGTTAAACAGCTCTCATGTCCTGTGGAGTCCTGTCATGACACATGGGAACATGCGTGTCATGATAGGACTCCACATATAGGACTCCACATATAGGAGTAAAGGAGAAACGTGAGTTGATCAGTGAAATGAAGATGAAGGACAGGGTGAACCTCAGAGCCTGAGGTTGAAGGTTAAGTCTGTGATATCAGCAAGCATGTGGAAAGAACACACTTTCCTGGTGGAGGCACATGTGGAGGCTTTGATGGGCAATGGGCAATCAGGAGGTTTTAGGACAGCTGTGAGCAGTTCTGCTTTTTTTTTTTTTTTTTTTTTTTTTGAGACAGAGTCTCGCTCTGTCTCCCAGGCTGGAGTGCAGTGGCTGGATCTCGGCTCACTGCAAGCTCCGCCTCCTGGGTTCACGCCATTCTCCTGCCTTAGCCTCCAGAGTAGCTGGGACTACAGGCACCCGCCACCACACCCGGCTAATTTTTTGTATTTTCAGTAGAGACGGGGTTTCACTGTGTTAGCCAGGATGGTCTGGATCTCCTGACCTCGTGATCCGCCCACCTCAGCCTCCCAAAGTGCTGGGATTACAGGAGTGAGCCATCGTGCCCAGCCTGTTGGGTCACATTTTATAATACATTTGCTGAGGTCTATTTTGTGATCTGTGAGTATGCACTGTGGTGGTGGCAGTAAAATACATCAGTGGGAATTTTCCTGCAGAGCTCTTGATCCATGCGGGGTGTATCACAATTGCACAGTAAATATTGATTTCATTGAGAAGAAAGAAAAATCTGATAAGAAATAAAATGAACCAATAAATATTTTCTCTACGTATGTGTGGTAGACAGAATTCGCAATGTGATCCCATGATTTCACACCCGAATCCCTCAGAGCCCACGAGAATAGGGAATCCCATGACTATGTTGTGTCATATGGCACAGTTGACTGTAGAGTAGGGACACTATCTGGTGGGCCTAATGTCATCACACAGTTTTGAAGCAGAGTGTTTTTTTTGACTGGTAGAAGAAGTCAGAGAGATTCAGAGTATGAGAATGACGCAGTGTGTACTGCTGTTCAGAAACGGAGGGAGCCAAGAGAGCAGGAATGAGGGTGGCCTGAAGGGTGCAAGACAGGTCCTGGCTGGCAGCCAACAAGGAAACCAGGACCCCAGTCCTCCAATGCCAGGAATTTAATCCTGCCAATAGCAGGAGTAAGCTTGGAAGAGGAGCCTGGGGTCTAGGGAAGAAAACATTAACTTACATCTTTATTTCAGCCTTGTGAGACTGAGCAGGCGGTCCAGCCGCTGCATCCTGGAATTCTTGCCATTATCACACTCGTATGTGAAATAATAAAACCGTGTGTTAGCTTCTGTATTGAATAAACTGAATAAACTTCTCAACTTTGCTTTCCTTCTCCAGTTTCCTCTCCCCACCCCTACAGTATCATTCTTTATGGAAGACATATTAAATTTCTCTTTAAAACAACATTGCTTTGAAATATAAAAAACAGCATATGTCAACTGTTTTTTACAATAAGAAGTACTATAACCAGACTTTTTTAAAAAAATGATATTATCCTGCTTAGCTCACAAAAACATTTTGATTATTTGGGCTGTTAAATTTTACGTGTCATGTTCAGTAAATCAATTAGGTTCTTAAGAAATCTCCTGCAGATTGTCAGATTGAAGAGATCATAACCCAGAAGGAAATAAGCCTGCACTCCTAAGACAATTAGTGCTTCTAATGAGAAAAGTGACTGACAGATAAGGTGGGAAGATTGGCCTCACCTCATGGGGCAGCTCTGCTGTTCTTGCCCATCCTGATGTTTTTGGATAACAAGGAAAGTGTATTCAATTTTTTAGCTCCCCCTTTTAAAAAAGCAGTGGAAGCTTGTAATCAAAGACAATCATGTTGGGGTCCGGTAGGAGTCACCCCATCGCATTCATCACACTCATCAACCAAAGGGAGGAGGCCTCTCCCTGAGTTCCTGCTTGAGGAACATGGCTGGAAAAGTAGGGAGAATGGAAGCTGATGCCAAAAACAAAAACAGGAGAGAGAAAGAAATGCCTCTGTTTGGTGCATCGAAACACTCGATTTAATCTGTGCATGTAGGTGGGGAAAGCATTTGTCCATTTTTAATTTCTGTAGTTAATCCAGGAGCCTCCAGAATAGGCTTATGGTTTGGAGTGACCTTGAATGGTGACAAGAGTATATTTTATTTGCATGGCTCTCCCCACTTTACCAATTACTTTCTCATAGGAGTCGCTTGTTTCTCACCCATGAAATTGTTAGAAGGTTTTGTTAACTTTTCAGTCTTGAGATTAGAAGAGGCTTTAATGTGCTGGAAGCACAACTGCACTTTTGATTCATGAATTTTTTTTTTTTTTTTTGAGACGGATTCTCGCTCTGTCGCCCAGGCTGGAGTGCAGTAGGGCGATCTCGGCTCATTGCAAGCTCCGTCTCCTGGGTTCAGCCATTCTCCTGCCTCAGCCTCCTGAGTAGCTGGGACTACAGGCACCCACCACCACGCCTGGCTAATTTTTTTTGTATTTTTTTAGTAGAGACAGGGTTTCACCGTGTTAGCCAGGATGGTCTGGATCTGCTGACCTTGTGATCTGCTCACCTCGGCCTCCCAAAGTGCTGGGATTACAGGCGTGAGCCACCGCACCCAGCTGATTCATGAATTTTCTATTCAGTTTCCAGCCTCTTCTGGAACACATTCAGCAATGGAGAGCTCCCTGCCTTTTGTAACTCTGGAGAGTTCAAATTAATCCATTTATTGTTTGCTAGAAAATATAACCTTTTGAAAATATTTTCTTACTTTCCATTTTATTATTTATTTATTATTATTATTATTTGAGATGGAATCTCGCTCTGTCACCAGGCTGTAGTGCAGTGGTGCAATCTCGGCTCACTGCAACCTCCGCCTCCTAGGTTCAAGCAATTCTTCTGCCTCAGCCTCCCAAGTAGCTGGGACTACAGGTGTGTGCCACCACACCCAGCTAGTGTGTGTGTGTGTGTGTGTTTGGTAGAGATGGGGTTTCACCATGTTGGCCAGGATGGTCTCAATCTCTTGACCTCCTGATCCACCTGCCTCGGCCTCCCAAAGTGCTGGGATTACAGGTGTGAGCCACTGCACCCAGGCCATTTTATCTTTTAACTGTCTGCAACAAAGACAGAAAATGACACCAACCTAAATCATTCCTGTTAGAGTTCAGGACCATCATCTCCCAAACTTTGGAGTGTCTGATTCCCTGTAGTCAATATGCAACGAGATTTCAGGCAAGTATTGTTTGAGGTCGACAGTAACTGTATCCAAAAGTTACCTTCCTAAACATATACAATTGTTTTAGAAATAAATGCCTACATTTTCTTTGAGTACCTGGGCTAACTGATGAAATCAGCCTTTCTGCCTCACCTTACAAAGGTACTTTACAAAGTTTGGGATTAATGTTGAGATGGGAAATCAACCCACACTAGATGCAAAAAAGCAGAGCTCACTGCCTGAAAATGTGAGGTGTGAGGCTATTCAATGGTTGTAATAAAAAATAAAAAATAAAAAAGATCAATGAAAGTGGGCTTAGAAGGGCCAGTGTCCAGGCAGCTCTGCTGTGGGAACTGTAGAATCCGGGTCATGGGAATGAGGAAGGAAAATGACTTGGGTATATTCCACAGAGTGGATCCTATTTTCAGAACATGCTTTCATTTCTTTTTGCATTTGACAGTTTATACTCAAGAATAAAATAGTCACCTCAAGGGCGTTAGGGAAGCAGAAGCCTAGGAGAGCCCGAGTGACACCATTTTAACATCAGCTCCGTCTTCAAGTTAGCAGGGTACATTCCTTGCCAGTCATGACTCATGGTCCTAACATGTTCACATCCAAGGAAAGAGCGTGGTAATGCCTGCAAGGACAAACTCCTACAATAACAGGCAGTCCAGATGTCCCAATGCCCATAACAATATATGCTTTCAAGATAGTTATAGTTATGCTTTGATGTACTCGTACACTAAAATGTCAAGGATCGTTTTCTTTAAATCAATAGAATAATAAATTTTGTCATTCTGTCAGTCCACCTGCACATAGGCAAAGCTTAGTTTATTCTTTACATAAAGAAGATGTATATGTAAGAAAAACTTAAAACAAAGATGGGGCATTCCTGTTCTTGCTTTCTGAGGATACCTTACTCTATAACCTAGAGGCTTTCAATAAACTCTCCCTTCCCACTTTATTCTGCAACTCACCTTGAATTCTTTCCTGTGTAAGATCCAAGAACACTCTCTTGGGGTTTGTATCAAGATCCCTTTTCTGGTAAAAAAGAGGATGCAAAAATTCAGCTACAACAAAAATAGACATGGGTTATTTTTCCTAAAAAGATTGCACTTGTCTGTTGCCATTGGAGGAATGTATCCGATGTTGTCAAATGTCAAACAAGACTCAGAGGACCTGATAACTCATATTTTGGAAGCTGGTTCTCTTTGGAATACAGAATTTTAAAAGGCTTGAAGCAGTACTCTTGAGTAATATGGAGAGTAGATAGATGATGGAGAGCAGAGAGAATGATTTAGGTTTGTGCCATTTTCTATCTTTCTTGCAGACAGTTAAAAGATAAAATGGAAAGTGAGAAAATATTTTCAAAATAATTACTCTTTATACTCACAATATAACCTTTTCACAATAATTCTTCTTCTTCCTCTTCTTCTCCTTCTTCTTCTTCCTCCTCTTGTTCTTCCTCCTCTTCCTCCTCCTCTTCCTCCTCCTGCTCTTCCTCCTCTTTTTCTTCTTCTTCTTTCTTCTTCTTTCGTCTTCTTCTCCTTTCTTCTTTCTTTTTTCTTCTTTCTTCTTTTCTTTTTTAGACGGAATCTTGCTCTGTCACCAGACTGGAGTGCAGTGGCATGATCTCGGCTCACTGCAACCTCCGCCTCCCAGGTTCAAGGGATTCTCCTTCCTCAGCCTCCCGAGTAGCTGGGACTACAGGCACACACCACCACGCCTAGCTAATTTTAGTATTTTTAGTAGAGACGAGGTTTCACCATGTTGGCCAGGCTGTTCTCCATCTCTTGACCTCGCGATCCACCTACCTCGGCCTCCCAAAGTGCTGGGATTACAGGCATGAGCCACCATGCCCAGCCAATAATTACTCTTTTTGTATTCCAGCACAAAAGTTGGGATCATGGATAAACGACTTGCCCCAACTCTGGACAATGGAGCAGTGGCAACCTGTTAACACATATTAATTTTGGGTATTTCTTAAAGTTTTGTTTTTTTTTCACCTTTCTACCCTCCTGCTTTTCCCGTGAGAATGGGTGTGGTTACTCATTTGCTTACACAAATCTCATTCTTGTATCCAGTTTGATAACTGGATACTACTGAAGCTGATCTTCAGTAGTCTCGGGTGGTCCTAGTGAACCAGCTTCTCCAGACGCAGCTGTTCGCCTTCTGTTCATTCAGCATCCAAGGTGAGTCTTCAGCACTGTCTGATGCTCCAGCAGTTCATTCTGGCAGTGCTCTTACGAGAGGGATAGCGGGAGCAGGCTGGCGGCACAGGCCAGATACAGTCAGGGTCAGATGACCACCTGATGGGGAGGGTCTTCATCCACAGACTGTTCTCATTGTTTGGGGGATTCTTCCTCCTTTTTTATTCCTGTATTTAATCTGGCTTCAGTCATTAGGTGTTTCTTTCATAGAGGAATTTTCATCATATAAGGGTAAGCTTTGTTTTAAGATTCATGAAAGTGGCATATGTGCTGAGGTGGCCTAGGCAATCAGGGTTTTTAGGTCTTATTTTCATAGGGACCCAGTAATCATCCCCCGGCCAGGGCTGGAAATCCCCAGGCCAGGTTACATCATACTGCTAAGTGAAACATAGTGTAGACCCCATGAGATGTTTGAGTGGGCTTTATGGCCATCATTAATCTTACAGGCATGGGATGTTTCTTATTGTACCATACAACAGCTATCCACACTTCTCATCCACATTCTTGCAGCAATCTAATCTTCTCATACAACAGTGAGGTAAGATTACCACTCAGCCTTTGTTGTGATGACTGCCCACCTGCTACTTTAAGTTTAGCTGTGTGTGGTACTATGATTACTCTTCCTTTCAAGAACAGCATTTTCTTTCCTTTGGGATTAATGATTGCTTGTTTGGGGGGCTATACTTTATTTTTATACATTATTACTAATATTTAAACCAAATTTCTCTTAACCTGGGTTTTCTCTAAAAACAGAGCCTAGTACAAAGGTATGTAGGCATTTTATTTTATTTGGGAAGTGACTGTAGGAAACAGTAATGTGAGGGCCTGGAGAACATGACAGAGAGAAGGAAAAGCCAATTAAAAAATACATAGGGTCAGGAGATCAAGACCATCCTGGCCAACATGGTGAAGCCCAGTCTTTACTAAAAATACAAAAATTAGCCGGGTGTAGTGGCAGGTGACTGTAATCCCAGCTACTTGGGAGGCTGAGGCAGGAGAATTGCTTGACCCAGGAGGAGAAGATTACAGTGAGCCAAGATCGTGCCACTGCACTCCAGCCTGGCGACAGAGCAAGACTCTGTCTCAAAAAAAAAAAAAAAAAAAATTACATAGGGGCTCACCTCTGCAGATAGGGCTGAATACTGCTGGAACTGTTTGAGGAACTACATGAAATGCATCCTCTTGATGGCTATTGTCCTCCAACAGAAGCAGGTTGTTTCTTTGGAGTTAATGCCTCTCCACTCCCAGGTTATGCAGACCTGTGTGCTGTGTCCTGAGAAATTTCAGTAAAGCTCATTGCAGAAAGCATTCAGGGTAGTGCAGCCATGGCTGAAGTCAAAGGGGGTTAAGAGGACCTGAGATGGGACACATGTTGGGGGAAAGGCAGTTATCTAGAGCTGGGAGGGGGACCTGGTAATGTGACTCCTGGCAATGTCCTTTACATGGTCCTTTCTCTCAAGTGTACCTAATGTCATCAATTCCTGAACTTTGGGAGTGGGACCATTTCGTATAATTCGAACCTCTTCTACACGTGATATAAACTACTAAGTCAATGGCACATATCCATCTTTTTTTCCAGATCCCCAAGTTCCTGTTTTCTCTTCTTTCATCCTTATGGGTTTATTATGTTTTTTACAAAGACAACCCCCTTATTGTCATCTTAGTGGCATTTCAGGGGTAAGTAGAATGAAAGGCATGCTTCCTATCTGCTCTCTTGAATCTACATATACTCTTTTGGGTTTTAAACCTTTTAGAGAAAAAAACTTCCGTGGTATATGCCTCTTAACAAAGATCTTACATGAATAGGCCAAAAAACTCAGTTTTTGTCCAGCTAATAATTGAATTGTAACCAAACGAAACCAGCCAGCTTGCTATAGAATTATTTTAATAGGGCATACACTGTATGCTTTTTGTTTCTGCACATTTTTACACTTGCAGATATTATACACGGAATTTTATATTCTTCCTGTTCAGTTAACGTTCTGTGTATATCTTCTCTTTTCTACATGATTAAAAAAATGTTATTCGGCCGGGCGCGGTGGCTCACGCCTGTAATCCCAGCACTTTGGGAGGCCGAGGCAGGCGGATCACGAGGTCAGGAAATCGAGACCATCCTGGCTAACACGGTGAAACCCCGTCTCTACTAAAAATACCAAAAAATTAGCCGGGCACGGTGGTGGGCGCCTGTAGTCCCAGCTACTCGGGAGGCTGAGGCAGGAGAATGGCGTGAACCTGGGAGGCAGAGCTTGCAGTGAGCCGAGATCGCGCCGCTGCATTCCAGCCTGGGCGACAGAAGGAGACTCCGTCTCAAAAAACAAACAAACAAACAAAAATTATTCTACACCCCTCTTCTATCCTATTTCCTGTTTTTACATCCGCTCTCCCCTTCCGCTTCTGAGTCTCCAGTGTCCTTTATACCACACTATGCCTTTGCCTACCCATATTAGCTTATAAGTGAGAATATATGGTTTTGGTTTTCTATTCTGGGTTACTTCACATTTCAAATGGAGTTGTTTTCTTAACTTCATTCACTTAGTGCTCACTGCGAGTGTATAGTAATACAATTAATTGTTTAATATTGATTTTTATCCCTCAAACTTGCTGAACTCATTTATTAGGAATCGTTTTCTGGGGTATTCTTTTGGATTATACGTATACAAAATTTGGGTAATCCGTAAGTAACTGATGTTACAATCTGTTGTGCTCATTCAGTACTTTTCCCTAAGCCCAATCACACATTAAACAAACACAGAGTTCCTTTTAGTTCCTGCCTAAGCACTGAGTTTTTATAATGAAAGGTGGGAAGATATGTTCTATAAGAAAAGGTTTTTTAAAAAAACAGTTTTATTGAGATATAATTTTACATTCCATAATATTCACCCATTTAAAGTATGTAATTTAATGTTTTTTACTATATTCACAGTTTTGTAAAACCATTACCATTATTCAACTTTAGAATACTTCTATTTCCCTTAAAAGAAACCCCATGCTCGTTAGCAGTCACTTGCTATTCTCCTCTCCTTCCCCACTTCACCAACTCCTCACCTCTCTACCCGAAGTAACCACTAATCTACCTGCTTATTCTGGGCATTTAATAGAATTGGAACCATGCAATATATGGTCTTTTGTGGCTGGCTTCTTTTACTTAGTATAATGCTTTCAAGGTTCATCTATGTTGTAGCCTATATCAATACTTCATTTCTTTTTAAGACAGAATAATCTTTCATTGTATTTATGTACCACATTTTACTTATCCATTCATCAGGATAAATGGGCATTTTGGACATTGGGTTGTTTCCACTTCTGGCTATTAGGAATAATGCTGCTATGAACATTCATGTGCACTTTTTTTTTTTTGAGAGAGTCTTGCTCTGTCGCCCAGGCTGGAGTGCAGTGGCATGATCTCTGCTCACTGCAAACCTCTGCCTCCTGGGTTCAAGTGATTCTTCTGCCTCAGCCTCCCAAATAGCTGGGACTACAGGCACGTGCCACCATGCCTGGCTAATTTTTGTATTTTTAGTAGAGATGGGGTTTCACCATATTGGCCAGGCTGCTCTCACACTCCTGACCTCATGATCTGCCTGTCTCGGCCTCCCAAAGTGCTAGGATTACAGGCGTGAGCCACCGCGCCTGGCCCATGTACACATTTGTGTCTGTGTGTGTGTGAACATGTTTCACACCTAATGGTGGAATTATTGAATCGTATTGTAATTCTATGTTTAATTTTTTGAGGAATTGTCAGTTTTCCACAATGGCTGCATCATTTCACATATTTATCAACAGTGTGTGAGGGTTTAAATGTCTTCAAATCCTTGCCAAAAGTTTTTACTGTCTGCCTTTTCGATTATAGCTGTCTTTGTAGATGTGATTTTGATTTGCATTTCCATAATGAATAGTGATGTTGAGCCAATTTTCATATGTTTGTGGATATTTGTACATCTTCTTTGGAGAGATGCCTATTTAAATCCTTTGCCTATATTGTATTTGGTTTATTTGCCTTGCTACTATTGAGAGTGGTATGATTCCTTTATATTCTGGATATAAGACCCTTATCAGATATATGGCATGCAAATATTTTATTCATTTCTGCAAGTTTTGTCTTTTTTTGATGGTATCGTTTGTAGCACGAAACTTTTAAATTTTGATGAAGTCGAATTTATTTTTTCTTTCATTGCTCGTGCTTTTGCTGTTGTACCTTAAAAATCTTTGCCTAAACCCAAGGTCAGAAAATTTCACTCCTCTATTTTCTTCTAAAAGTTTTACAGATTTTTATGCTTATACTTAGGTTTTTAATCTTTTTGAATAAGCTTTTTGTGTATGGTGTGAGATAGGGCATTGAGTTATCTAGCCACATTTGTTGAAAAGGCTCTTCTTTCTCCAAGCACTTTTATTAGAACCCTTCTGAAAAATTCATTGGCTATAAATATAATAATTTATTTTTAGATTCTCAATTCTGTTCTACTGATCTATGTGTTATTCTTACGGCCATACTACACTGTTTTTATTATTATAGTTTTGTGTTATGTTTTAAAATCATTAAACGGGAATCCTTTAAATTTATTCTTTTTCAAAATTGTTTTGGGGATTCTTGGTCCCTGAATTTTCAGAACTTTTAAGATCAGTTTGTCAGTTTCTGAAAAAGAGCTAGCTAAGATTTTGATAGAGATTGTGTTGAATCTGTAGATCAGCTTACAAAGTATGGTCATTTAACAATATTAAGTCTTTGGGAGGCTGAGGCAGGAGAATCGCTTGAACTCGAGAGGCGGGGGAGGTTTCAGTGAGCCGAGATTGTGCCATTGTACTCCAGCCTGGGCAACAAGAGTGAAACTCTGCCTCAAAACAAACAAACAAACAACAACAACAACAACAAAAATATTGTCTAGGTAATATCTTTCCATTTATTTAGATCTTTAATTTCTTTTAAAACTGGTTTGTAGTTTTTAGTATACAAATCTTGCAATTCTTTTGTTAAATTATACCTTAGTATTTTATTCTTTTTGATGTCATTTCAAATGGAATTGTGTATATATATATATATTTTACTTCAGTAGCTTTAGGGGTAGAAGTGGTTTTTGGATACATGGATGAATTGTGTAGTGGTGAAGTCTGAGATTTTAGTACACCTGACACCTGAGGAGTGTACATTGTACCCAGTAAGTAGTTTTTTATCCCTTCCCCTTCTGAGTCTCCAATGTTCATCATACCATTCTGTATGCTTTTGCCTACCCATAGCTTAGCTTATAAGTGAGAACATGTGGTATTTGGTTTTCCATTCCTGAATTACCTCACATGTCAAATGAAATTGTTTTCTTAATTTCATTCACTGAATGTTCATTGTTAACATATAAAAATAAAATTAATTTTTAATATTGATTTTTATCCTTCAAACTTGCTGAACTCATTAGTTCTAATAGTTTTCCGGGGTGTTCTTTTGAATTATCTGTATACAAAACTTAGGTCATGTATAAGTAGAGATAGTTTTACTTCTTCTTTTTCAATCTGGATATCTTTTGTTATTTTTATTTGACTATCTCGGCTGGCCCATCTCTTGGAGGGGATTTTTATTGTAAATTTTTTTATTAGAGAGATGTACTGTATATATTTTCCTACAGTAATTTTGAACTAATTATTCTTATAGACATCTGTATATTTTCTACTTATTTTTAGATTTCTTTTTGACTTATGGGTAAATGAAATGCGTGTTTATTAATTTCCATATTTTTCTAGATATTTTTGATGTTTTTATTTTTCTCCAGATTAATGGCTTCCTTATCAGAAAATATCTGTAGATTTTCCATCATTTGAAATTTGTTGAGATTTTATTTATGGTTCAGTGTGTGCTTCTTTTTAAATAAATGTTCTGTATGTGCTTGAAAATGATGTGTATTTTGGCAGCATTTGACTGAGTGACAGTTTTATGAGGTTCAAATCTTCTAAATCCTCTTAGTTTCTTCTATTAATTAGTGATAAAAATGTGTTAAAAAGAAAAATAATCAGAGTAGAGGATTTTCTTTGTAGTTCTAGGGATGTTTTTATTTATGAGTGTTGAGGCTAGGTAATTAGATGTATATATATTATAATTATTTTATCTTCCTAATAATAACATGTCTATGTTAGCTTTTATGGTTAATATTTTCCTGGTATGCCTTTTTACTTTTTAAATCATTAACCTTTCTGTATCCTAATGTTTTATATATGTCTTGTGAAAACAGGAGCAAATTGGGTTTTGTGTTATAGTCTGTTCATTTTTACTTTAAAATAAATAGTTTAGTCAGTTTATGTTTAAAACAATTACTGATATATATAGGTGTGTATTTTCCATTATATCTGTGTTCGTAGTTTATCCATGTTCCATTTTCTTTTATCTTAGGTTGTTTATATTTTCTTATCTAATTTCCCCCCTTGTAATTTAGAAGTTGTATACTATTTTTATTTTTATTGTAATAATTATAACATAGATACTATATTAATATCCATATTGTTCAGAAAAACAGAACCAACAGGACACACACACACAGTCTGAAAGCCAGCAGTCTTGAGACCTAAAAAGAATCCGTTTCTCAGTTCAAGTCTGAAGGCAGTAAAAGATGCATATCCCAGCTCCAACAGTCAGGCATGAAAGAAAAGGTCAGCTTTCTTGTTCTATTTAGGCCTTCAGCTGATTGAATGAGGCCCATTCTCATTGGGGAGCACAATCTGCCTTATTCAGTCTACTGATTCAAATGTTAATTTATCCAGAAATACTCTCACAGACACATCCAGAATAATGTTTGATCAAATGTCTGGGCACCATGTGGCCTAGTAAAGTTGAACACATAAAATTGAGCACTACAGCACTTAATTGATCAGTTTCTCAGTTAATCTGTATCTTGACCTCATACCAAATGATAAAGGAGCATTAGAAGACTCTTTTACTTTATTTTCCTTCCTCTCTTTTTATTCTGCTGTTAATAAAATTTCATTTTTTATCTTAAACATTCTACAAGGTGATGCCATTATTTTTTTCTATTTTTTATTGTGGTAAAATATACATAACATACTTTTTATCATTGTAACCATTTGTGAGTATGCAGTTCAGTAGCATTAAATATATTTACAATGTTATATAACTATTGTTACTATCTACACCAAAAAAAAAAAATATATATATATATATATATATTTTATACGGAGTCTGCTCTGTCGCCCAGGCTGGAGTGCAGTGGCACGACCCCTGCTCACTGTAAGCTCCACCTCCCGGGTTCATGCCATTCTCCTGCCTCACCCTCCAGAGTAGCTGGGACTACAGGCGCCCGCCACCACGCCCGGCTAATTTTTCTGTATTTTTAATAGAGACGGGGTTTCACCATGTTCGCCAGGATGGTCTCGATCTCCTGACCTCGTGATCCACCTGCCTCAGCCTCCCAAAGTGCTGGGATTACAGGTGTGAGCCACCGTGCTTAGCCCCTACACCAAAAATTTTTATTATCCTCAACATAAACTTTGTAGTCATTAATCAATAAGTACCCATTTCCCCACTCCTTATCCTCTAGTAAGCTTGATTCTACTTTCTGTCTGTAAATTTGCCTACTCTAGGTACCTTATATACATGGCATTGTACGATATTTGTCCTGCTATATCTGCCTTATTAAACAAAGCATAATATTTTCAAGGTTCATTCATGTTGTAGCAAATATAAAAATTTTATTTCTTTTTATAGCTGAATAGTATTCCATCACAATGCCACATATTCTTTATCTATCCATCTGTTGATGGACACTTGGATTGCTTCCACCTTTTGGATGTTATGAATAATGCTGATATGAACATTAGTACACAAATAACTGCTTTAGTCCTTGCTTTCCATTGTTTTCTATACATACTTAGGAGAGGAATTGCTGAGTCATTTGGTAGTCTTAAGATTAACTATTTGAGAAACTGCCAAATTATCTTACAAAGCAGTTGCACCACATTTTACATTTCCACCCTTAATGCACGTTCCAATTTCTCCACATTCTCACCAGTATTTATTATTTTTCAATTATTATCTTTATTATCATTTGTATAGCCATCTTTGTAGGTGTGACATGGTATCTCGTGGTTTTGATTTGTATTTTTCTATCTACTAATGATGTTGGACATCTCTTTATGTATTTATTGGCTATTTGTAGGTCTTCTTTGGAGAAATGTTTATTCTAGTCGTCTGCCCATTTTTAAATGTTTGTTTGTTTGTTTTTTGTTGTTGAGTATTGCATTAGTCCGTTTTCACACTGCTATAAAGAACTACCTGAAACTGGGTAATTTATGAAGAAAAGAGGTTTAATTCACTCACAGTTTTGCATGCTTAACAGGAAGCATGACTGAGAGGCCTCAGGAAACTTACAATCACGGCGGAAGATGAAAGGGAACCAAGGACTTTCTTCACATGGTGGTAGGAGAGAAAGAGAGAGTGAAGGGGGAAGTGCCACACACTTTCAAGCAACCAGATCTTGTGAGAACTCACTCAATAGCGTGAGAACTCACTCAATGGCATGAGAACAGCAAGAGGGAAGTCCACCGCCATGATTCAGTCACCTCCCACCAGGTCCCCCCGACATGTGAGGATTACGATTCAACATAAGATTTCGGTGGGGACACAGAGCCAAACCATATCAAGTATTAAGAGTTCTTCATATAGTCTGGGTATTAATCCTTTATCAGAATGTCTGAGATATTCTGATCTGAGAGTTCTTCATATAGTCTGGATATTAATCCTTTATCAGAATATCTGAGATCAGAAGCAGCAATTAGCAATCAGAGAATAGATCTCTGATATTTGGAGGACAGGGTACTATTTGGCCACCCTGGCCTCTGCAAGCTGAATGGAAACTGCTATTGGAATGCATGCACAGCTACCTGCCATGTGAGTGGAGGTAAGGGATGGATAGTTGCTACTGTGCTAAGAGCTGAAATTGACAAAATTAATGCAATTTACCATCCAACCTTTCCCTGGAAGTCGCAAACCTTTAACAGACTCTAGAGTTCCAAAAGAGTTACATCAGGCTGGCTGCAGTGGCTCACGCCTGTAACCCCAACACTTTGGGAGGCCGAGGCGGGTGGATCACCAGGTCAGGAGATCAAGAACATCCTGGCTAACACCGTGAAACCCCGTCTCTACTAAAAAATACAAAAAATTAGCCGGTGTGGTGGCAGGCGCCTGTAGTCCCAGCTACTAGGGAGGCTGAGGCAGGAGAATGGCATGAACCCAGGAGGCGGAGCTTGCAGTGAGTCCAGGTCGTGGCACTGAATGCCAGCCTGGTTGACAGAGCAAAGACTCTGTCTCAAAAAAAAAAAAAAAGAATTACGTCAGACATATTCTATCAATGCAATTGTGTCTAGTTGGGGGAGACAGTTTCCCGGTGCTTCTTAATTTGCCATTCCAGAATTCTCTCTCTCTTTCTTTATTTGTTATATCTGTTAAAATTTATATTTGTTAATCACTTTGGTTTCTTCTTTTTAGTCAGTTTAGATAATTTGTGTGTTTTAAGAAATTTATGCATTTATTTTAGGTTATTTGTTTGGCATACAATTGCTCACAGTACTCTTAATTCTTTATTTCTATAACATCACTAGTATTGTCCCCATTCTCATGTCTAATTTTTGTCATTTGCATGTTTTCCCTTTTCTTCTTAGTCTTTCTAGGTAAGTTTGTCAATTTTGTTGATCTTTACAAAAAACCAACTTTTGATTTTATTGATTTTTCTCTATTGTTTTTCTAGTCCCCATTTTGTTTTTCTGTGCTCTAATCTTTATTGTTTATTTCCTTCTAGTTTTGAGTTTAATTTGTTCTTTATATCCTCATTCTTTAAGGTGGAAAGTTAAGTTACTGATTTGGAATGTCCTTTTCAATATAGTTATTTATAGCTATACATTTCCCTGTGAGCACAGCTTTCAGTGCATCCCACAAGTTTTGGTATGTTGTGTTTTCATTTTCATTCAACTCTGTTTTCTAATTTCATTTGCAATTTCTTTTTTGATCCATTGCTTGTTTAAGAATGTGTTGTTTAATTTCCACAAATGTTTGAATTTTCTAGTTTTCCTTCTTTAAAAATATTTTTAATAGTATACTCTATTTAGCTTAATATATTCGTAGTATTATCATACCATTCCAATACATCATCAATGAAAGAAATTAGTATCGAGATATCTTACATTCTTTCTTTTGTACTAATGATATAGGAGGAGGGCAGGGCAGTGTTGGGTAGAGGAGAAGGTCCCTGGCTAGGGCTCCACCCTCAGGCCTGTGCCCATGGACCTAGGTGAGGACAGATATTTCTGCTTTCGTTCCCATATGTTGCATTTTCCAAGACCACCCTGGCCTGCCATGCCCCCATCCTGTGCCTATAAAACCCTGAGACCTTAGCGGGCAGAGACACAGAAGCTGGACATCAAGAGGAACACACACAAGTGGAAGGACACTCAAATGGCTGGACATTGAGAGGAACACACAGGCAGAGGAACACTTTGGCAGACACCAGTGGAATGACGAAACGCTGAGGGGAATTCAGTCGGAGAGTCTGGCTACTGAGCGGCTCCACTCCAGGGGAAAACCACCTTCCCAATCCATCCCCCCTCTGGCTCCCCTCCATCTGCTGAGAGCTACTTCCACTCAATAAAACCTTGCACTCATTCTCCAAACCCACGTGTGATCTAATTTTTTTGGTACACCAAGGCAAGAACCCAGGATACAAAAAGCCCTCTGTCCTTGCGATAAGGCACAGTGTCTAATTGAGCTAATTAACACAAGCCACCTGCAGACCGCAAAACTGAAAGAGTTAACTGTAATATATGCCCACTGGGGCTTCAGAAGTTGTAAACACTCAACCTTGGAGGCTGCCATGGTGCCAGCGCTTCCCATGCCCTGCCTGTCTGCATGGTTCCCCTAGAGGTATGAGTAGCAGGGCACCAAAGAAGTGAGCCACACCCCCATCACACGCCCTGCTGGGGGATAAGGAAACTTTTCCAATTACACTAAGTTTTTGAAATGCAGTGTCCATTTCATGTAATAGCAGATCTCCATTTCTTTTTTGTTTGCTTTCTGTTATTGATATCTAACTTCATCCTGTTGTGGTCTGAGAAGATACCATTTGTATGGCAACTATCTTCTAAAATCTATTGAGATTTAATTTGTGGCCTAACATATGGTCTGTCTTGGAGAAATGTCTCATGTGCCTTTAAGAATTTGTTTGCTGTTGTTGTTGGGTAGAGTATTCTGTGTATGCCTCTTAGATCCACCTGGTTTATAGTGTTGTTCAAGTCCTCCATTTTCTTACGTATCTTCTGTTTGTTATATATTTCTTATTGAATGTGGGGTGTTGAAGTCTCCAATTATTATTATTGTAGAATTGCATATTTATCTTTTCAGTTCTGTCAACTTTTCTTTCATCTATTTTGAGGATCTGTTACTAGGTGTGTAAAATGCTATTGCTTTTCAACGTTCACTTAGATTAACTCCTATATTTATCAGTCTCAGTGCTTTAATTATTCTTGCATTCTGGAACATCCATCTGTTGTCACTTCCCTTCTTTTTATAAGAAATTCCTTTAGTGATGTAGAATAATATGATTATGGCAAAATTTTCCTAGTTTTGTTTATCTGAGAGTATATTTGCCATCCTTTTATTGAATCATTGATATTTTTATCTCTGTGTTTCTTTGTAAGAGTCTTTTAAACTTTTACTTGGAAATAATTATAGGTTTGCAGAAAGTTTCACAGATAATACAGTTTCCTCATACCCTTCACTCAATTTCCCTAATAGATGTATCTTACATAACTGTAGCACAATGTCAAAGTTTGGATTTTGACAATGGCATAATATGGTTTGTATAGTTTTGTCATTTTATCATGTGTAGATTTGTGTAACCACCACAGAAATTAAAATACAGAAATACTCCATCATCACAGAGATCTCCCACACCACAGAGATCTCCCTCACCACAGAGATCTCCCTCACCACAGAGATCTCCCTCATGCAACCCCTTACTGTCACCTTCCTACCCCCATGATTCCTATCCCTTGAAAGCTCAAATTTCTTCTTCATTTGTATACTTTTTTGGGGTTTTTTTTTTTTTAGAATCTTCTAAATTAAACTATTTACATTTAATGTAATTACTGATATTTTAGAGTTTAAGTCTTCTTTTTTTGTTTTGTGTCTATTCTTTGTTTCTTACATCTATGTTTTTCTTTCTCCTGTTTCACTGTGGGCTACTTCATTTTTTTTTTTTGAATTCCATTTTTTTGTTATCTCTAGTGTTATTGGGTATATCTCTCTGTATAGCTTTTTGGGAGTCCTTTAGGTATTAAATTATACACACGTAACAGCACATTCTGCTGGTATCAATATTTTACCAGTTCAGTTAAAGTATAGAAATTATATCCCCTTTTGTGTCTCTTTCCCTCTCCATTTATAATATAATGGTCTTGGCCGGGCGCAGTGGCTCACGCCTGTAATCCCAACACTTTGGGAGGCCAAGGCGGATCACCAGGTCAGGAGGTCGAGACCATCCTGGCTAACACAGTGAAACCCCGTCTCTACTAAAAAATACAAAAAATTAGCTGGGCGTAGTGGCAGGCAACTGCAGTCCCAGCTACTCGGGAGGCTGAGGCAGGGGAATGGCGTGAACCCAGGAGGCAGAGCTTACAGTGAGCCGATATCGTGCCACTGCCTCCAGCCTGGGTGACAGAAGGAGACTCTGTTTCAAAAATAATAATAATAATAATAATATAATGGTCTTAAATATTTTTCTACATACATCGAGAATCACATCAGACATTATTATAATTTTTACTTCAATAGTCAAACATAATTTGGAAATTCAAGAGTAGAAGGAAAACCTGTATTTACCCAAAATTTTGCTCTTTTTATTGTTTCTACTTTCTTCTTGATGTTCCACTTTATTCCTGAAGAATATTTGTGCTGGATATAGAATTCTAGACTGATAGTTATTTTCTTACAGCACTCCAGAAATGAGATTGACACTTACACTGGCTATGTAGCCATTTTGGGTTTTTAGCTTGTGGACGAAAATTTCTCTCTTTGAACTTTTCACCTTGGACAGGTCCAGTACTACTACATTTTCCTCGTAATAGCATCCCTAATTTCATAAAATACCTTATTTCTTAGTTTGTTTTCCATTTTTTGCTTAATAAAAGGAGTACTGAGGGATACAGATTTTTATCTGTGTCAACTTTAGTTGTTTCTCATTTTGTATTATATAGTGTGGATCAGTCCAAGATGAATTTAAAGAAGGATATGATGATGTATTCTTAATAATTTTTAAAAAGTTAGGTGATATACAAACTTATGCAGAAGAAACTTATAGTAAATAATCTTATAAAAGGTATTTTGGAACTACTTTCAAAGCGTATTTTAGTGGACTGATTAGTAGAATGCTCTCTCTTAAGTTTATAAAGCCCTGGAAATTCTTCTGGTATGAGAAATGAAAACTCAACTAAGTTTTACAGATCTTCATTGATGCTTGACTTCTCTCAAAAAGGAAATGGTATAATAAAATGGAATGGGTTTATTTTGTACCAGCCATCATCTTAAAATCAGGAAGTAGTTAATTGTGAAACTGAAATATTGGCGAAACAGAAGAGTTTCCATTTTTGATGATTTGCTCTATTGGCACATATCATCTAAGAGCGGCTACATCCCAACAGTGGGAAAGTGCTAAGTAAAAACAATGATAAGAATGACCTAGGCCGGGCGCGGTGGCTCACAACTGTAATCCCAGCACTTTGGGAGGCCGAGGCGGGTGGATCACCTGAGGTCAGGAGCTCCAGACCAGCCTCAACGTGGAGAAACCCCGTCTCTACTAAAAATACAAAATTAGCTGGGCGTGGTGGTGCATGCCTGTAATCCCAGCTACTCGGGAGGCTGAGGCAGGAGAATTGCTTGAACCTGGGAGGCGGAGGTTGTGGTGAGCTGAGATCGCACCATTGCACTCCAGCCTGGGCAACAAGAGCAAACTCCGTCTCAAAAAAAAAAAAAAAGAATGATCTAGTGATCTCACTTGAAAAAAGTGTAGTGGTCTCATCCTATAAAGGTTTTTTTGTTTTGTTTTGTTTTGTTTGAGACAGAGCCTTCATCTGTAGCCCAGGCTGGAGTGCAGTGCCATCTCGGCTCACTGCAAGCTCCACCTCCCGGGTTCACACCATTCTGCTGCCTCAGCCTCCCGAGTAGCTGGGACTGCAGGTGCCCGCCACCAAGCCCGGCTAATTTTTTTTTTTTGTTTTTTTTTTTGTATGTTTGGTAGAGATGGGGTTTCACTGTGTTAGCCAGGATGGTCTCTTATCTTCTGACCTGGTGATCTGCCCACCTTGTCCTCCCAGATTGCTGGGATTACAGGCGTGAGCCACCGTGCCCGGCCCTAAGAAGTATTTTTAAAACATCCTACTTTTCATTTCTGAAAAAAAATAAATAAAAAGCAGTTGACTTTAAACTCTTTAAAAACAGAAGAATCTGGGTATTTGTTTCTATTATTTGATATAAGGCAGAATCTTTTAGAAGGATTTAAACACTTTACTAAAGTCAGGAACGAACATGTAGGGAAAAACACAACAGTATTTTTGGAGGATTAGATTTTATGTCATCCACAGAATGAAGATACTGCTGTGGAAAACTGGCTGATCAATATGAGCTCCACTGAACTTTTGTTTTTGTTAACAATGTACCTCAGTAAGTATTTAGTTAATATATCCAACACATGCCCTTGAAGCTATTCATCCAAATGTCCAGTAACAGATAACTCAGAAGACAGTTATATAACACAGAAGAGAATAATCAAATTTAGCTATGATGAGTATATCTGAAGAATATTAAATTCTATGTTCTAATTTTAAATATTATCAGTGAGAATAGTGTAAATAAACTTTATAGGAAAGTGAATAAATACATGAAAAACATTTGTATCCTCTATAACAATAAATTGCCATTTACAGCTCCTACAAGTCAGTACTAAAACTACAAATATTCATGTAGAAAAATATTCAAATGATATGAACATGAAAAAAATCAGAAAATGTCACTTAAAAATGTTTCTTTTTTATTTTATAAACTTGTTTTTAAGATCTTTCCCCTATTTCTTTTGCATTTTCATCCAGCTTCTTGGGTTCAATGCTCAGTTTATTTGTTTCTGATTTCTCTAGTTACATAATAAATGCACTTAAGATTATGTTTGAATAATTATCATAACAGAAGTTTGACTAATTAGCAGCATTTATCTTAATTGCAAAGGTTAGAAGGATCTAAGTGCAGGACAGTTCTCTGGGTGGCCTTGGACCAACCCAGTTCTCTCCCCTGTCTCTTGTAGTTCTCAAGAATAACTGTAGAATGTACTGGGAATGCAACATCCTGAGAGAAGAAAGGAATGGCTAGAACAGCCCAGGCCCTGTTCCAGTTCCTTGGAAACAGAATGTCTTTCAATGTTTTGTCCAGGGGGTAACTTCACCTTGGAGTATAAAACCCAGGGTGGGCTGCTTTTGCGGGTCCCTAGCTGAGGTACAAGTGTGGCATGCACAGACAGGACTACACCTCCCCCGAGCAGTTTTCCCCAGCCTTGGAGGACTAGCTTGCCATGAAGCCCAGGTGCTGCCTATCTGTAAGTAACAAATCCACGTACGTGACTTTTGTGTGTTTGTGTTCCATCTCAGCAGACTCAGCCAAGTTGGTAACCAGTGTCATACTAAGTATGTACTGTATATATAAATGCACAGATATTTTGATGTTTAACGTTCCAGGATCTTTCTTTTAAATGAGTTCTTAATTGTGTATCCCAGATCCAAGCTCTTCTCCTGACAAGCCTCTGGCATAGCAGTGAGGTTTGCTCTGTAAGCTGTGGAAGCCTCAGCTGGACACTGTACCCAAGCTTGCTAGGTATCCACTGTTTCAGCAGTGCTGAGAAAGAAAAGACCCCAAGCCCTCAAGGAGGTCTTTTCATAACATAGCACAGTCTGCTTTTTGCATAATTAAATCATTTCTTAACTTACCAATTGACAGAAAATCACTACCAATACCATTCTATTCAACTTACATATTCCACCAAACCAGACATGGTTGAACATCAACAGGGAGCCACCCAGAGTGATTTGAGAAAAAAGCCAAAACCAAATCCAAAAGATCTTTACACTATTTAATTGTAACTGTGCTGAGTTAAATTATTAGAATAAGAAATTTTATAAGTTTATTTTAAAATTTTTATTTATTTATTTATTGGGATGGCGTTTCACTCTTGTTGCCCAGGCTAGAGTACAATGGCGCGATCTCGGCTCACTGCAACCTCTGCCTCCTGGGTTCAAGTGATTCTCCTGCCTCAGCCTCCGAAGTAGCTTGGATTATAGGTATGTGCCACCACGGCCGGCTAATTTTTGTATTTTTAGTAGAGATGGGGTTTCGCCATATTCACCAGGCTGGTCTCGAACTCCTGACCTCAGGTGATCCACCCGCCTTGGCTTTCTGAAGTGCTGGGATTACAGGTGTGAGCCATCACGCCCAGCCAACAGTTTATTTGAATCATGAGAATTTGTATTGGTTTTTATAAACTAGTTTCTTTCATCTCAGATTCCCTGAAGTATAATGGGGTGTATAAATAACAGTAAAAATAATAGTAATAACAATTACTTCCCTAGGCTGCCAGCAGAAAACACCTGAAATGTTTTTCTTTTTTACGTATCATTTTTGAAAATGTTACAGGAAGAAAAGTTAAAATGATCCTATCACTAAAAAGTAGTTTAATTTTTCTTTGTGAATCTAGTGTGAGGCGAGTCCACTCAGGTATTAAGGTGTTCACATCCTGATTGTCCTTAACCTCCTCTTCCCTCTCCCCATTCTTAAGTGGGAAAAAGAATTTAAAGAAAAATTCAGGCCACTGAGAAGAAAAAAGCTTGGCACCCCAGAGGGGCCAGTGTAGGTTTCAGGGTTTCAGGTCTATGTAAATTTCTCCAGATTTCTTCAGATGACAAGGAGAAAGGGCTTTGCAGAGAGAAGTGGCCCCAGGATCTGTGCTCCATGCAGTTAGACGGGCTTTGCCAGAGGAAGCCCAGAGAGGCTGGACGCTATGCCTGGAACAGAGTGGGAGTGTGTGGTTACTGGGGTGGTTCTGCCCCATCTCCTGGCAGAGTGCTCAGCTGCCCAGAGTGGAGCGCCCGAGGGAGACCGGTCAGCAATAGTGACCATCCCCCCAATGCTTGGCGCACCTGGTTCCTCTTGTCAGGCTGGGGAATGAGTGCTCAGGATGCCCAGTCATGGTTAGAAGTCGGCGGTGCTCGGCCGGGCGCGGCGGCTCACGCTGTAATCCCAGCACTTTGGGAGGCCGAGGCGGGCAGATCACGAAGTCAGGAGATCGAGACCATCCTGGGTAACATGGTGAAACCCCGCCTCTACTAAAAATACAAGAAATTAGCGGGGCGAGGTGGTGGGCGCCTGTAGTCCCAGCTACTCGGGAGGCTGAGGCAGGAGAATGGCATGAACCCGGGAGGCGGAGCTTGCAGTGAGCTGAGATCGCGCCACTGCACTCCTGCCCGGGCGACAGAGCGACACTCCGTCTCAAAAAAAAAAAAAAAAAAAAAAAAAAAAGTCTGCCGTGCTCAAAGCAGGCTTATTCTCATCTAGAAGATAAAGAAATATGGGCCCTGTTACCCCAGGCAGCTGCTGAATTGGAATGGAGGCAGCAGGCACTGAACATCTGCCCTGTTTCATCCTTGAGTGGATAGAAATGGCCTCTTATTCTGACTCTTTCCCTACACATTTGTGGTAACACAAGACTTTTAAAACAAAACAACTGACTTAATTCCTCCAACCCTGAATCACGGCAGTTAATTTCATTTTTCTATACTTAAAAAATGTTTTCTGGCCAGGCGTGGTGTCTCACGCCTGTAATCCCAGCACTTTGGGAGGCCGAGGCAGGCGGATCACCTGAGGTCAGGAGTTCCTCAGACCAGCCTGGCCAACATGGTGAAACCCTGTTTCTACGAAAAAAAAAAACAAACAAAAATTAGCCGGGTGTGGTAGCGGGTGCCTGTAATCCCAGCTACTGGGGAGGCTGAGGCAGGAGAATTGCTTGACCCCAGGAGGCAGAGGTTGCAGTGAGCCAAGATCGCACCTCTGCAGTCCAGCCTGAGGGACAGGACAAGACTCCATCTCAAAAAAAAAAAAATTTTTCTTTAAAACATGAATATAAATGAGTCAGACTCCAGTAAGAACCACAATGTGGCTTCCAAGACAGAATAAGAGAAACAAACAACTGCAAGTCATTTCTCAGTAATGGGGACTGGTGACTGCTGCCTGAGGGCCTGTGAATGGCTGTGGCATTTGGGGTCCTGCCCTGGTGTCTCCCTGCTGCTTCCTCCAGGCTGAAGTGGCGCTTCTACTAGAAAGGTGTCTGCAGCCTTGATAAAGCATTGCACCTTGGCACAGATCAGCGTGAGGACCCAAACAACCTAGCATTGACAGTTTAAGCCAAAGCAAGCCCCATTCTTTGCTGATAGTTTTTCTAGCAATTGCCTAAGTGGCAGTTGGAAAGAACTTATTGGGAATGTAGCTACAGACACTCTCCCTTCTGGCCTCCCTTGATCTCCTTTCATCCTTTTATGGTAACGCCTAAGGAAAAAATATAACTTCCATCTAATACAAGATGGAAAAAAAAATAGATGTGCATAGATTCCTTCTAACTGAAGGAAATCATTCAGTGAATTATATACATTTCTCTCTCTCTATATATATATATTTGTACACACACGTATATATAACCTATTCTCTATCATTTATCTTTCTATCGTTTATCATATATATGCAAATTTCAGTTTAAAAATTGTTCATTAAGTGATACAATCAACTATATGCAAGACATATAAAATCTTAAGACTGTATACATAGGTATAGTGTTTATTTCTTACACAACAATTGTTTATTACACTATTGACCAATGTGACCATACCTAAAATTCTTGCTTTACAAGAATTAAATCTTTAGTTTAAATTGAGGTAGTAATTTCAAATTTAAGATAACAGTGAGAATGGGGCTGTAACTTCTCTAATAAAAATATGTAGCAGTACATACGTGACTATTAGTCAAAAGATGGCACAGGCAGGGAAGAGGGCACACTTCACCAGGCAGTGCGGCCTAAAGGCAGAAATATTTTGCAAATGGAACTGAAGCTGGACAATGTCATATTTGGCCTCTGATTTGTTGGCTGAAGCTTCACAGTATAATAAGCCTCCTTTGGATGAGAGTGGGCTAAGCCTGGAAGACTCCAATCCTACACATTCTACAAATGTGTGCAGAAAATATCTTCATTTGCTGTCAGCACAGAGCTGGTGCTGTGAGGGTGGAGGACGTGACGTGGGGAAATGCAAGGAAAGCCCACTCCTTTGTGGTCCTGGTGTGGGGAGGGTGGCCCTCGCCCCATTCATGTTTCAAGTTCCGGGAAAGACTGGCCTCCTGAAGCAGCCCCCACGCCAACTCAGGCTCAGCCAAGGCCCTTAGGTGGTATAGCACAGCCAACAAGTGAGAGGCCCTGAGGTGCGGGGCCTGAGCTTCTCTTGGCTCCTGGACGTATATGGGATCAAGAGGGGTAAACCTGGCAGAGACGAAGAGGCTGAAGAGTGGCCCAGCTGGGCCAGACCCAAACTGGAGGTGCAGCCAGATATGAGATGTAGGGCCAGGGTGCACCTGGGTAGGGCTGCACCAGCCAGGAAGGCTGCTGAGTTTTTGGGCCAGAGTGAAATAAATCAGGAGCAACACCCAGCCTTGACCTAGCTGAGAACGTCAGCAAGGCAAGAAGAAATGACATGGGGAGGTCCTTTGTCCCGGACGTGGCAACCCAGGATCCTGACTCTCTCCCTTGGCTTGAAGGTCCCATGAGCCCCACTGCTTTTCATGAAGATTGTATGTGAAACACCCAGGGTGGGGGTGCCCTCACACCTCAGGGCCTTTGCACCTATTATGTCTTCTGCCCTGTAGGAATGTGTTCCCCACATAGCCCAGATGGCCAGCTTACTGCATTCACATCTCTGCTCCCAGTCACCACCACATCAATGTGGCTTTCCCGACCACCTCTTCTAGAATGATTCTCCCTGCACTACTTTCACTATAGCCCCTGGTCCCATGTTTCTTTTTAACACCTATCACCATATGACACATGTATTTGTTTATTTTCTTTCTTCAACTCCCTACTAAAATATGAGCTGTGTAAAGACAAAGAGTTTGACATTTTCTTCCCAATAGTGTCCCCAGTGCCTAGGAACAGAGTGCACACACACACACACACACACATACACACACACACATTTGCTATTGGCGAGCTATGATGCCTTTCTGATGCCATCTTGACTAGTCACAGCGAGGCTGGGTAACCTAGAACATTGGCAGACTGGCCTTTTTCCTACAGGATACTGAGCGTTAACTGAGAAACCAGTGTAAATTATGAGTTTAATGTTTTCAATCTTAATAGATAATTTTCCCTTATAATCAGCAGGGGCAGCTCTGAAAAAATTAAAAATAAATAAAAATAAAAAAATCAGTGTAGTTAATAAAGAGTTGCGCCATGTTCTCTTTGCATACAAGAGCTGCTGTGTGAAAGATCCTGCCTCAGGTGACCACTGAGTTCCTTCTCCTTTTGAGAGACCCTCCCGGCACGCAGTAAGTGCCAGCATATTCTCACGTCTTTGAATTTCATGATTTGGGCTGGGACTCGCTGGCCACATCATTGGTCTAAAGTTCTCCAAGAACCCAGGGTGAGCATGCCACAGGGAGAAAACATTCTTGTCACTTTAAATACAAAGAACATATTTAAAGTAATTGCTAATGATTCAATATTTGCAATACATGTGTGGGCAGTTATGAAACTTTCTTTAACGCCTAGGCAGATCTAAATGCCTTATCAATTTGGAGGCGCTGTTTCCTTCGTGGTTAACAATTTAAGGTGTTTCACTGTGATTTCTGACTTGAATGTTCCTTTATTAGAGGACGTTGTCCCACTAACGTACATCTCCTCTGGAGGCTGGGCTAATCAGTCTTCAGTCTAAGAGCTTTCCTTCACTACTGCTAATTAAGGATTTTTCTATGATGAATACATAATTCTAAAAAAATATGATTTCCTGATACAAACTACATATGCTTGAAATAAAACTCCGAAGTCAAGTTGCACAGGCTTATCAAACAACTCTCTGAGCACAGAAATACAGAGTAAAAGTTAAAACACGTCTCTACAAAATTATAAACACTGAATATTAACAAATCAAATGACTTATTGAACTTACTTTGCAAAAATTCAGATAAAAATGCATTTATACTAATCAAGTTCCAATTTCTGCACTATGTAGGCTACCTTTGTAATAATTACATAAGAACCCTTATAATATAGATCTTTTTTCTTCAATAAAAAATCAACTTTGGGATTATTCTGTAAAAGCAGAAGGAGAATTTGGAAAAATTAAGCCTTCTAAGACCTCCCAGATGAACTCTAGCCAGAGCCCCAGGAGGACTTAGTGATGCCCTCTCATGCTTGGAGGCTGGAGGGAGGGCGGGAGTCAGTTCCCCTTGAGTTCCTATGGAATCTTCAGTCTGTTCTGCTAGACTGATAGACCAAGCTTCTCAGACACCCAGACTGAAGGGGATAATGATCTAGCACCTCGGAGTGTAGACACACAGCCCTTCTCTCCAGGTTTACTGACAGCAGCTCCAGGGCCTCAAGTTCAGGCTCTCCTGCTTTTCTGCCCCTAAATATGAACTCAAAGAGACTGAAAAAGCAGAAGACCACGGGAAATCCTGCAAGGTTTCTTGCACCTTTGCGACTCACGGATGAAGCCATTGGGCCTTTCCAAAACTGTCATTTTTTGAGAAGACAAGCATGAGACATCCTCTGCCAAGGGGAGGAAAGGGACAGGGACAGATATGGATAATTGGGAAAGTTTGATAAATCTGTAATTTTCTGCCTCATAGGCATAAGATCCTTTTGGGGGTTTACTCACTACATGATACCTGTCACTAGGAAGTTTGTAGATTGCATCTCTGTTGAAAATCCTTTGTGTGTGTGTGTGTGTGTGTGTGTGTGTGCGCGCGCACGTAGCTATATATGCAGAGAGCCACACATCTTAGAATTTGGCCCCCCAGCCTCCTCTTCCCAACCACAGAGCAACGTCTGTGGTGCCAATGAGCCCATCAGGCCATGCCTCTGCTTGGCACAACTGCCCTCCACGGGAGTCTGCCTCTTCCTTTTTTTTTTTTTCTTATAGATATGTGTTCTTTTCAATAATTGAGATGAAATTGTGTAAACAGATTGGCGTTATGCATGTTTTTTCAGATGACATTATATAGTGAAAATATTCCCCATGTCATAAAGATTACTTGAAATATCATTTGCACAGCTCCAATATTTCATAACATGGATTCACCATTATTTATTTAATCCCTTATCTGTTCTTGAATGCTTGATTGGTTTTAACATTGCTCCATTTTCTTTGGATTTTTAAACAATGCCTTTTCCTGGGTGATGATAGCCATTGCAAAAGCTGGTTTCATAATTGTTGGATGTTTTTCATTCTTGGATCCTGGATATCAAATAAAATCTTTAGAGATAATATCTGAGACTGCTATGGTTTACTGTCTTTTAAAACTTTACCCTTATTTGGGGATTAAATAATGTGTGTGTTCTATCACAGACACCTATTCTAAAATTGTCTATCAGTAAGATGGACTGCATTGCCTTTTCCTTTTCCATAGAGTATTGAATTTAATTGGGTTATAATTCCTGCTATCTAGTAGCTCACCAACAATGGAGCTGTCAGAGCTTACTCATATACTCCATGGGAAGTTTATGTGTCTGAGGCAAATGCTGGCAGGTGAAGCAGGCATTCCATGAAACCAGGCCTGGGTGGAAAGGAGGCACTCTTGTGTGCAGAGTCTGGTGCCGCTGGGCCCACACACCTGGGAGCACTCCCTGGCTGCCCACACCCTGTTCCTTTCAAGAATTTGGGTTGTGTTTTCTTCTTTCTTGACAATTAGTATAAGGGCAGTAGCTAAGAGTTTGGATTTATTTTTTTTTTTGATGGAGTTTTGCTCTTGTTGCCCAGGCTGGATGGAGCATGATCTTGGCTCACTGCAACCTCCACCTCCTGGGTTCAAGCAATTCTCCCGCCTCAGCCTCCCGAGTAGCTGGGATAACAGGCATGTGCCACCACGCCTGGCTAATTTTGTATTTTTAGTGGAGACGAGGTTTCACTATGTTGGCCAGGATGGTCTCGAACTCCTGACTTCAGGTGATCCACCCACTTCGGCCTTCCAAAGTGCTCGGATTACAGGCATGAGCCACCATACCCGGCCAAAAGTTTGAATTTTGATTCAGTCATGACTTTGCCACTTAATCTGAGTCTCCAGGTAGGTCATGTCCCGCAATTTTCTCATCTGCAGGCTGGGAATAATGACAGGCTATATTCCAATAAGTTTTCATTGAAGGTTAAATAATATGACAGAGATCTGGCATATGTAAATCCTCAATAAGTGGCAGCCATTTTTGTTTTTATTGCTTTCGTTATTCATTGAGTTTCAGATACTGAAATTAACAATGCGTATTATCCACCTGTTCCTCTGCTGCTTGGATTCCAGACCAAATTTGCCACCTTTTTTGTAACTTCTAAGATTCACTTTGTACTCTTCTGTTTTTTTTTATTTACTCAATAAGTATTTATTGTGAATCTACTGTGTGCTAGTCACCAGTTTAATAATACTCTGTTCCCATCTCTTTGCCTAGTGCACATATATAAGGAATTCTATGAAACTATAACCATACTGACAGATTTCTTGTATAGTCCAGATGATGATCCCACCATTTTAAAAGTACACTTCAAAATGCTCAAAGAGTAAGCTTCAAATGTCTCACCACAGAAAATAAGTGACATTATGAATACGTAAATTGACTTGATTTAACATTCCACATCATGTACATATATCAGAACTTCACTTTGTACCCAATACATGTGTACAATGATGATTTTTCAATTAAAAATAATATTAATGAAAAAGTTGCATGACAGTGGAAAAAATGTTTTGAAGGATAGAGGTTTGCTTATGATCACATGATTCTGAGCAAATTAATCTGAAGCTTTTTTCACAATATAACTTTATTATGTAGAGTTGTTATAGAAATTAAACAACAATATAGAAATCAAAAAAATTTTGTTAGTTCCTTTCTTTTACTCCTCAGATCAGTATGGTTAGGGTGTTCGCAAACTCTGTGTACATTGTGCTGTGGGTTAGCCACTTTAGAAACAGAGGGAGACAGTGAGGCCGGTGGAGCTTGGGAGAGCTAAATAGAGTCTGAGATGGAGAGATTGCATACACCAGTGTGTATTTGAAATAAAATGTAGTGAAAATTAATAAGCTTGAAATTACCTAGCTTAGGCTGTTAAACAAAACATTTTAATAAAGAAAACTAAGTCATTTAGGTTTCCAGAGAATAGTAACTGTCACTAATAAAATTAATGTTTATTTAGGAAAAACTTGTATCAGTTTCTGCAATTGAATCAATCAACATCCAATGAGGAAACAGAAACCACATAGTAATTTGGAAAGGAAAATCAATATAAATAATATTAAATGTTATATGGGGTTAACAATAAAGGGGTACCTGAAGAAAATATTTGGGCTCTGGGAGAGTCCCCAAGGAAGAAACAAACTTGAAAAGGGGCCCCACTCCCCAAGACTGGGCCTCTGACTCATTGGAGGTGTGGTTGCAGCTCACCAGCTTGAGAGGAGGTTCTCTGGGTTGCCCCGGGCAGAAGCTGGTAGGAGGTGACATGGGGCTGGAACAGGCCAGCTGGGAGCTCCTTCTGGGGTGCAGGTGGGCACACAAGCACCACGTAAGGAGGGCACGCAGGAGCACCCTCCAGGGAACAGGCAGGCTGAGGATGAGGAAGGATGAATGTCAAAGCAAGGCAGCTTTGGGTCTAACTCTGAGCTCAGAACTGTGGCCAAGGTTTGTTTTCTGGGTCAGTTCTGGATGAATAGCTTCATGGGATCCTGCCAACATATCAAATTTAGCTACCCAACCATCTGAAATGAAACAGTAGAGGAAAAACAGGATAATGAAAATTCTTATTTAGCAATGTATAAAGAACATGCAACTTAGCTCAGCATGTGTATCATGCTTTATTTGGGCCAGGGATCGCTAAGAATATTCATTTTTAAACTTATTTTTTTGGCAGAGAAATGTTTCTGGCTCAGCAAATATAATTACAATAAGGTTTGAATTCCTGTTTGCCAGGATTGGAAAACGATACAATTTCTAAAGCTCTAATCAGTTGTCTATCCATTTTATCTCGGGAACAGAGCTCTATTAGCTATTCTATTAGTTAGCTATTCTCACAAATATGCTGCATAACAAACCACCCCCAAACTCAATGGCTTATGCCAACAACCATTGATTTCTTGCTCGCACATCAGCAGGTTGCTTGGAGTTAAGCTGATTAAGTCAGGGCTGGGCTTGGCTCCAGGCTGCAGGTGGGTTTCAAGTCAGCTTCATGTAGCTGTTCCCGTGCCGTGCTGCTTAGCATGTGCTCTCCTTGGGGCAATGGCAGAAGCACAAGGGACAGGCATTTCATGAGCATTTCAAGCCCCTGCTTGGGTGAAGTCTGTTAATGCTCATTGGCCAACATCAATGGGGAGAGAAGTATGCTTCTGTCATGGAGGTTAAAGAGAATAGAGTGAATCTTTGATAGACCATAATCCAATCTCCCACAGCAAGGAGAGTATACAAACCACATCTTAAGTCTGGATCGGCCTGGGATTTTTCTGCCCCTTGACAGCAGCAGCTGCCTTGCCCTTTGCCCAAGGGAGTCCACTCTGCTGCTTCCTGAGTGTCCTCATTCCTGGTCACTGCACGATTGTCCTTAAATGGTGTTATCTATTTGGACATGGGCTAAATGCTACTCCCCATGCATGTTTGCTCACCTGTTCCATTTCTGTGTCTAGGCAGGTTGGCTGAGCCTGTGGCTTCTCTCTAGAGCTTCCACTGCATCTTACTGAATTTCTTAGGAAGTAGTTGACACAATTGACTACACTGATTTCTGCAAGGTCCCCTAAATCATTTCAGAATGCATGGGGATTGACTCCCAAGAGACAAAAGGGAAGAACTTAATGCACAGTGCACTAAGCAGCAAAGTAGTTTTGCCTCCTTGAGCCTATTCAAGGTTCTCTGTCACACCTTGAATCAGCCAAGATCAAATTTTAGTGTTCGTCACTTGTAAATGTAGTAGACACAAAACCTGGAATTGTGTCTTTATTTGGAAATAGGGTCTTTGTAGATGTAATGAAGTTAAGATGAAGTCATATCGGATTAGGGTGGGCCCCAAATGAAATGATTGGTGTCCTTACAAGGAGAGGGAGATTTGGAGACACAGAAAGACAGAGAGACACGGAGAGGGTGGAAGGCCATGCAGTGATGAAGGGAGAGATTGGAGTGATGCAGCTGTGAGCCGAGAATTGCTGGCAACCACCTGAAGCCAGGAAGACGCAGGAAGGATTCCCCGCTGGAGCCTTCAGGGGGAGCATGGCCCTGCTGTCACCTGACTTCAGGCTTTGATCTTCTGGAATTGTGAGCCAATAAATTTCTGTTTACATGCCACCTAGTTTATGATAATATGTTGTGGCAACTCTGGGAAAACATAACACAACACCTCCGATGTCTATTTTAGTCAGAATTCTTTGGTTGCAATTAGCAAATACTAAGAAAAAAAGTGGATTGATCTTAGGTCATTTGAAACTGGCTTTAATGTGTGAAGTTAGGAACATGGGTGCTGTTGGGACTCTCTTATCTTTCATTTATGATTCTCTCTTGTGCTGGCTTTATTCTCCCAGGTCAGCTTCTTCATAAGGCTGATGCCATAGCAGCTGAAGTGTTGAGGCTTTTTGATGAGAGAAAAAAGGCTTTTCTGTGTAATTCTAAGATTAAGTCCCAGGTAAGGGTTCTAGTTCGCCCCTGCTCATCTGGATGGACCACTGAGGTTTGGTGGACAGGCTGTATTGGTGGTCCACCTAGCATCAGTCCTCTGACTGTTGAACAGTGACAAAGGCCATGAAAGAGAAAGGGACAAGGAGTGTAACAAGAACAAGTGCTAACAGGATCATGGAAACTGTTCGGCCACTGCTGTTCATCCACCACCACACTGATGGACTGAAGCAAGAAACCAGAAATCAATGGAAAATATAACAAGAAAGGTTATTTAGAAATTGGTTTCAGAAGAGGGAGGTCATGTGGGTTGAATAGTGTCCCTCCAAAGCTCCTGTTCAGCTGGAAGCTCAGCTTGGGACCTTATTGAGAAATAGGGTTTTTGCCAGAAAAATCAAGTTAAGATGAGCTCATCCTGGATCAGTGTGGGCCCTCCTGCAATCACTCCTGTCTTCATAGGAAGAGACACAGAGATACAAAGGGAAAAGCATGATGGACCACAGCTCAGAGACTGCACTAGTGCAGCTGTAGGCCAAGGATTGCTGGGAAGCACCAGGAGAGAGGCAGGGAACAGAGCCACCCTCCGAACCTCCAGGAAGAAGCCAGCACTGCCAAAGCCTTGATTTTGGACTTCTGGCTCTAGAACTTGTGAGTTAATACATTTTTGTTGTCTGGGGCCTCCAGTTTGTGGTACTTTGGCGGCACCAGCATGCTAAAACAGATGTGGGACTCAATCCTACCTTAAGTACTATTGAACTGCAAAATGAAAGCTTTAGAAAACACAAGAGAGCTGAAATTATTTAATAAGAAGTGTAGTTATATGTATCACTAGAGGAAAACATCCTTTCTTTTCTAAAAGAAAAATTAGATTTCTTATTGAAGCAGGGAGAAGATTTGCCTACAATTCTCATTATGATTAAAGATACCAATTTATCATTGATAATACTGATTATAAAACAGAATTACATTAGGGGATGAGAGTGTGAATACCACCAGGACATTAAATAAAATATTTGAGGAATGAGGTAATTGTCCCAGACTTGTTGGATTCAATCAAGGGTTTTAAGGCTGCTCTATTCCATTTCCTTTTACCATAATATCATATATACACTACCATAGGGAGAGACGCAGCGTAGCTTACATAATGAAATGACTTTACAGCTAATTTGATTCTGCATTTGAAAACCAAACAATTCTCAACATTTATGCTTGTTCATCTTCAGCACAGTTGTTGCGTGACTAAGTTACTTATGAGGAGGTCCGGAGTTCACGTTTAGGACAAGTTCTACTAATTCTGGTTCATACAAAACTTTCCAACCTCTGAGCTTTGTTTGTTTGTTGTTTACTTTGTGTTTGTTTTATCTTTAAAAACTGTAACTTTTTTTTTTTTTTTTTTTTGAGACGGAGTCTCGCTCTGTCGCCCAGGCCGGACTGCGGACTGCAGTGGCGCAATCTCGGCTCACTGCAAGCTCTGCTTCCCGGGTTCATGCCATTCTCCTGCCTCAGCCTCCCGAGTAGCTGGGACTACAGGCGCCCGCCACCGCGCCCGGCTAATTTTTTGTATTTTTAGTAGAGACGGGGTTTCACCTTGTTAGCCAGGATGGTCTCGATCTCCTGACCTCATGATCCACTCGCCTCGGCCTCCCAAAGTGCTGGGATTACAGGCGTGAGCCACCGCGCCCGGCCAAAACTGTAACTTTTATACTATCTTTCATACTATCATGAAACAAGCAGAGCCTTGATTTACATTTTGCATTATGCATGATTAACTCAATCTACTTTTGATAGTCCCCACTTTGGGAAGGTGAGGGTGCATAGTCCATACGTCCCCACTTGCTCTTTCCCCTCATAATGGTGACTTTTATCTGTTAACCTGACTGGGCTACGGAATGCCCACACAGCTGGCCAAACACTCTTTCTGGGTGTGTCTGTGAGTGTGATTTGGAAGAGATGAGCATTTGAATTGGTGGACTCGGTAAAGAAGATCACCCTCACGAATGTGGGCAGATATCATCCGAACCACTGAGGGCCCAAGTAGAACAAAAAGGCGGAGAAAGGGGAATCCCTTGTTGGTATTTGGCCTGGGACATCTCTCTTCTCCTGCCCTCTGACAGCAGTGCTCTAATTCTCAGGCCTTTGGACTCAGATTTAATTGCACTGTGGGCTTTCCTGATTTTCCAGCTTTCAGTTGGCAGATTATGGAACTTCGCAGCCTCCAGAATCCCGTGAACTGATTCCTGTATATATACATATGTACACATACAAATATTTGTGTATTTATCTCTGGGACCCGATATACATCTATATCTCCTCTATTGGGTCCCTTTCTTTAGAGAACCCTAATACACTCCTATATTGATGGTCTGACATCTGTCACACATAAGAGGAAATGCTCTTTTGGGATAATTATTCATAATATACAAGTTAGAGAATCATTTATGTTTCTTAGATATTTTCATATGTGTAGAGCTGCTTTATCAATTTGCAGCCCTGGTGGGGAGCCCAGAGCAGAGCCCCGGGCTGGCAGAGCTGGGATCGGGGTACAGATGGGCTTGCAGGAGCCTGGCCACTGGCACCGCTGCTGGGTCTCAGCAGTACCATGCCCTGTTCCCTCAAAGCCACATTGTCTTTTGCAGAGGTTGCCTCCAAAGAAGGTATTTTCTTATGAAGTTTTATGCCTTTGTAAAAGTTGTAAAATATACATGATAGAATTTACCATTATTATTTATTTATTTATTTTGAGACAGAGTCTCTGTCGCCCAGGCTGGAGTGCAGTGGTGCAATCTCAGCTCACTGCAACCTCCACCTCCCGGGTTCACGCCATTCTCCTGCCTCAGCCTCCTGCGTAGCTGGGACTACAGCCACACGCCACCACACCCAGCTAATTTTTGTGTTTTTAGTAGAGACGGGGTTTCACCCTGTTGGCCAGGATGGTCTCCATCTCTTGACCTCGTGGTCCACCCGCCTCGGCCTCCCAAAGTGCTGAGATTACAGGCGTGAGCCACCGCGCCTGGCCAGAAATAATTTGTTTCTTTATCACTGAGGACCATCTCAAGTGACAGGGCTCCAAGCTTTTGCTCATGTTCCGCTGCCTTGGAATCCAAGGGCAACTGCGGCCATGGTAGCCTATTTTCATCAAAGTCAAATGGCATCTTGTCGACAGAGGTGAGGGCCTGCAAAGTCCTACTACACTCAGGACAGTCAGTCCCCTGCTACAAAAAAATTATCAGGTACAAAATATCAATAATACTGAGCTAGAGAAACTGAGTTCTAAGTGAAATGGACAAACCTTTAATAGTAGTGACCTGGCCTGAAACTTTAATGTTTCTTTATTGTTTTAAACTTTCATTTGGTTGACTATAGGAGCAGCAAACTGTTTTGCCATTTATTTCTGATGCTTTAATTGTACAATGTTCCCCGAAATGTTTACACTTTAATTCTTGCCAAATTTGTTGTAGCCAACTTTAACCGTGGAATGACATATTTAGTCCCTCAACACTGTCACTTGAATGACACATGGCAATGGGTCAGCCAATTCTTGGAGCAGCACCTGGAGACCAGGGCATTTCCTGTTGCAAACAGTTTCCTACTGACCTTTGTGGGAAAGAAGAAAGAAAACCCAAGCCGGGCACGGTGGCTCACACCTGTAATCCCAGCACTTTGGGAGGCTGAGGTGGGCGGATCACCTGAGGTCAGGAGTTTGAGACCAGCCTGACCAACATGGTGAAACCCCGTCTCTATTAAAATACAAAAATTAACCGGGCGTAGTGGCAGGCGCTTGTAATCTCAGCTACTTGGGAGGCTGAGGCGGAAGAATCGCTTGAAACCAGGAGGCAGAGGTTGTGGTGAGCCGAGATCGCGCCATTGCACTCCAGCCTGGGCGACAAGAGCAAGACTCCATGTCAAAAAAAAAAAAAAAAAAAAAAAAAAGAAAACCGAGGCTTGGATTTTTAAATCTTCAATTGTGAGTGAAATTTGCATCATTACTCTGTTATAGTTCCACTTACGATTTTTAGAATAAATAAAAACAACATAAAGTGTTTTGAGAAACATAAAAATATTACAGACATATACACAGATGCAGTGATGCAAATGTAAAGATGATAAAGTCCAATCGTCAGAAAAGTCGTAAGTGGAATTAAGGCAGGACACAAGCAAGATTCACTGGTCCCTGAACAGCAGGGAGCGATAGAGGTGTCTGAATACCTTTGGGAGTCCACATCCCCGGGGTGTGGGGGACAGGCAGGCCCTTCATCCCCCGGGCAGAGCTGAGCTTGTTCTTGTCACATTTAACCTCAGTCCTCTGATAAAGCCAGAACATACAATGTTTTTATCTGCCCATTCAGAATCATGTAAGTGCAGGTTTTTTTAAGTAATTATGAGGGTGAGTGAGACTTTCACTGTAATGTTTGGTAAGTAATGAGGTGATTCAGTTTTATGTCCATCTTGATTTGAGGAAGAGAGAATGGTGAGGGAAGCATTGGGACAGGTTCATCTGGAACCACAGACACTTAAATGTAGACAAGCCTTTAATGATGCCTGGTCCTCGCTTCCTCCCAAATGCAGGTATGTATTACATCTCTGTTGGCTGTTCCCCTAGAATCAGCTGTAGCTTTTCCAGTGGCCAGGAGCCCTGGTCCCCGTTACCGTTGCGAGGCTGTCTTGCATTATTGGGCACTTTGAATGCTTAAAACTGGGCTTCTGGAAAAAGAGTCAGATTCACCTGGATCTGGATCTGGCAGGTGAATGTCACAGTCTCTAACGACCTCCTAATTCCTGTCTTCTCTCTTTCCTTCCTTTTTTTTTTTTTTGAGACGGAGTCTCCCTCTGTCGCCCAGGCTGGAGTGCAGTGGCACGATCTTGGCTCACTGCAAGCTCTGCCTCCCGGGTTCATGCCATTCTCCTGCCTTAGCCTCCCGAGTAGCTGGGACTACAGGTGCCCACCACCACGCTCGGCTAATTTTTTCATATTTTTAGTAGAGATGGGGTTTCACCATGTTAGCCAGGATGGTCTCCATCTCCTGACTTCGTGATCCACCCACCTCGGCCTCCCAAAGCGCTGGGATTACAGGCGTGAGCCACCACGCCCGGCCTGTCTTTCCTTCTTTTAATCTTTCTACACATGAAAAGGCGTCAGTAGCCCCCACCATCCTGTATGTCACCTGGGACACCCTCAGTCTGCCTTTGTTAATGTCAGAGCCAGGAACTCAGGGAAAAAACTATTTTCTGAGATACGTTTTTGTGCAGAGAGAAGAGACTTTCCATGTATATTGCCTTTCCTGTAATATTGTCTGTTCAGGTAGCTGTGTGCCATATCCAGGTAGCTGCATGCCCTCTTCCCTGTTTTAGCACTGGTTGATACTGAGTTTATGGTTAATTAGTAAATGTGTTAAAAAATTTTTTGAATTTTTTTTCAAAAATCAGCAAGCACAAATATGTACCTAGCATTTTCCAAGGATATGGGTATGGAAAGATAAAATGCCAGAACTTACAATTTAATTAGATATTAGTGCAAATGATCGATACACTGCAATGTGGTAACTGTGTAACAGATATTAATTGCACCATCCAAAATTCAGTATGTTAAAAATGGAACTCTTCAGGTTATCATAGGAATGTTGCTTGACTCTTATGCCCAGGGCAGACTGTGAAGCATCCATTCCCCTAAATCCAGGGCAGTCAGGTAAGGGGCCTTCTTATCTCAGCCACTTCTCCACTTCCAGCCCAGACTCTTGCTGTATTAACCTCTGTTTCTCCGACACAGCAGACCCGGAGACTTTTTACCTCCTTTTTTTGTGACTCCTCCCCACTCTACCACAAGTAGGGTTGCAAGATTTAGAAAATGAATATTTAAGACACTCAGTTAAATTTGGATTTTAGATAAATGACAAATACTGTTAATTAGTATAAGTATGTCCCACATATTGCATTGCATTTTATTGTATTTTTTTTTGTAGCAGCCGTACCCTCAAGAACTGCACCTTCCAACCACCCTTATATGAGCCTGCTCCAAAACCTTGCCAGCCAGCACTTCCAGGTTACGACTATTGACCTCCAGCTCCCGGTTTCAGGTGAGAGGTGAGACCCAGTCCCACACTAGCATGTCATCTTCGTGGAATCCCAAAAGAGACAATATATAGAGGACAGGATTTTTTTTTTTTTTTTTTTTTTTTGAGACGGAGTCTTGCTCTATCGCCCAGGCTGTACTGCAGTGGCGCGATTCTTGGCTCACTGCAAGCTCCACCTCCTGGGTTCACGCCATTCTCCTGCCTCAGTCTCCTGAGTAGCTGGGACTACAGGCGCCCGCCACCACACCCCGCTGATTTTTTGTATTTTTGGTAGAGACGGGGTTTCACCGTGTTAGCCAGGATGGTCTCTATCTCCTGACCTTGTGATCCGCCCGCCTCGGCCTCCCAAAGTGCTAGGATTACAGGTGTGAACACCGAGCCCGACCAAGGTACGGCCTTTTTAAAGCCCCCTCCCCTGCTTCACACCCAGCAATGCGCCTGCTTTAAGGGTGTCCTTGTTTTTGACAAACTCACAATCTCCGCCTCCACAGGTTTCGGGCGCCCCTGGTGGTTGCACTTTGCCAGTAGCTTATGGCAACCCACCAGGTTTGCTGATGCTGGACTGGCATTTATCTGTCAAAGTAATTTAAACCATAAGATTTATTCCCAAATAGGGGGGGAAACAGATAAAATGGGAGAAGGGCATGGTTGTGGGTTTGGACTAATCAGAACAAGATTCTAAATTTTTATAAAGAGAGGAGATGGTACTGCAGGAAAGCCCTGTGAGTCTCCCCTGCAAAATACCCACCTAGACCTGTTTTTGTTGGTGGTTGTGTGTATGCCTTCTGAAACAGTGTGTCTCCACAGCCAAACATGTGCTGGGATGCAGGAGATGCTTAGGCCACCTTGATCAGTGATGTCTGAGGCTTCCCCAGGCTGGTTAATTCACAGCCTCCCTCCTTTATGCTCCCCCAGATTCTCTTTCATTTAGATTGTGTTGACTCAGCTCAGGGGATGAATATATGTATTTGCCAACATTATTGAGTTTGCTAATTAAAAAGCACTGAAAAAAAACTTACTTTCCCTCTGCGTTTGGTGACTTTTACCCCTAGAACTCTTCTTCTTAGGAAGCCTATGACAATGAAGATACTATAAAAACAAGGGTCTTTCCAATTCCCTTCTGCTGTGTCGTGGAGCGAACACTCAACCTGGAGTCTAACGTTCTTAATTTCTGTCCCAGATCTTTACTGGCTGGGTCTCTGCACACTTCTCAGTCTCCTAGAGTCTTCAGGTTACTCAATCAAAAAATGTTCTAAACTAGTTGTTATAAGAGTGCTGAACACATTGGCTGGTTCACTCACACAATAGATTTGCCTGACAACTGTTCACTAAACTGTATATCTTAGTGCAGTATGTGGATTTAACTGGTGGTGTTGCTGATGTGTCAAAATTTTGAGCACGTTCCAGCTTTTCATTGTTGTTATTTTCCATCTTCCATTACTTTGAAGGGAACATGTTACAGGACACAAAGAAATACTAAACTTGCAAAGCATATGAATAATAGCAAATGTGATTATTATTTATTTACTTATAAAAAGATGATAGATTACTTCATGTTCTGCTTAAAGCTACTTTTTGCATTTGGACCATTTTGAGTAGCCCATATTCTGCCAAAAATTATAATTATAAAATTAGTGAATCACGCAGAAAACATTGGAACTAAATTATTGACACGGCTTTGGAAAGGTGATATCCAATCTTATATGCAAATTCCAGTTGTCTTCCATTACTCTTGGGATCTTTCAGCAGATTTTTGCCATCTGTGTAGAAGCTGTTATTGAATTTTCTTGCTGAGATTATATAATTTCTATTCAGAGAATTAAATTCCCCATTACACTGTATTTTGTTTCTCTACAATATAAATGGAAAATTATGTAACAGGGAATTTATACATTTGTTTTGCACCTGTGGTATTTAAAATGTGGCAGGCATTTAGAGCTGTCATAAAGACCCAGGCCGAAAATGCTTTATTGCATATGATTATCCTTCTCTTACTACTTTTGAAAAGGAATGAAATACAGCCATTTTAATATTCATGTGTTCCATCCAAACAGAGGACTGAATAATAAAAGTGGATAACTTATATTTGCTTCCATTACAAATAGTTTTATCTTGCCATCTTCAGTCATTGTTTTCGGCTTGCATTGTGATACTATGAAGTGGATCAGAAAATATACTTCCTGAGTGCTACTTGTTAAACAAGTGTATGAAATGTGCTTGACCCTGCTCTGTGCAGTAGAGCATTTCAGACTAATCACAAACTACTGAGTGGAGTCAAAGCAGCAGCTCAGACTGCTTTCTCTGCAAAAACTGGAGATAAAGTGTTGGTTAGAATATAACGTTTAGCTTCTCATGTTGTAACTAATGGTAGGCCTGGTGGAGTGGTTAAAATATAATGAATCCAGTACCAATGGATTCCAGAAGTATTTGATACCCATCTAATATAACGCTGCTCAAAACATTTTGATGGGTCTCTAGGGTCTAATGAATAAACTTCCAACCTTAGTCTGGTCCTTGTTATCCGACTTATGCTGTTTCTTTCTTTCTTTTTTTTTTTTTTCAGAGAGTTCTCCCAGTCTCCTGGATCACACTGGTCTGAAAGCTGTTTGGTAGACAACCTTCGAGTCTTTCTGCCTTCATACTGTGGGTATACCGTTCTCCCAACTGAAAACCCGTTTATTTTCTTATCTGTCTACTCAAAGCCTAACCAACACCAAATGGCCTAGAAATGCCACGTACCTACCAGTTGCCTCTTTCCTCCTCCAGCCCTTGTGAATGTGAATTCACATCTCTGTTCTCTGTGTTCCTTGGCCACTTAGTACCATTCACAATATCTCTCATAGCTAGCTCTCTGCCTTAGGGCTGGCCCATGGGACTAAAATTCCTTGTGGTAGGTATTTTTTTTTCATATTTCTATTCTTATAGCATCTAGCATAGAACAAACAGCCTAGTATCTAGTGGGTATCCAATAACAACTTATGCAGGTGATTAGGCAAGAAAAAGAAATAAAGCCTATTCAAATTGGAAAGGTGGAAGTCAAATTGTCCCTATTTGCTGGCAACATAATCTTATATATAGAAGAACTTAAACACTCTGCCAAAAATCCATTAGATGTGATAAACAATTCAGTAAGGTTGTATTGTATGTATCAAAACATCCCTATGTAACCCATAGAGATGTATAATTATTTTATGTTGATCAAAAATAAAATAATAAAAGCTCTTAATAAAACAGTCATCTCTTTCAGAATTCATGGTTACCATTGCCTCTAGTATTATTTGTCAATTAAAAAATAAAATTTAAAAAGAATTTAAAGAGTTGAATGCAGTTTAAAAATGCATGCAGGCCGGGTGCGGTGGCTCACGCCTGTAATCCCAGCACTTTGGGAGGCTGAGGTGGGCGGATCGCGAGGTCAGGAGATCGCGACCATCCTGGCTAACATGGTGAAACCCCGTCTCAACTAAAAATACAAAAAAATTAGCCAGGCATGGTCACAGGCACCTGTAGTCCCAGCTACTCGGGAGGCTGAGGCAGGAGAATGGCATGAACCTGGGGGGCAGAGCTTGCAGTGAGAGGAGATCGCGCCACTGCACTCCAGCCTGGGCGACAGAGCGAGACTCCGTCTCAAAAAAAAAAAAAGCATGCAAGTAAGGAAGGATCGTGTGAGGGTAAGGGTGCAAGTGCAGCTTTAAAGATATTAGTAAGAGAAAAGAAGAGGGCGTATAGTGCATGCTGTGACATGGGATGACAGCTTGCACTGAGAGAGCATGGATCTATATTTTTACTATATTATACTCTGTAATTGAACATTTCAGCTTATTTGGATTGTATTAAGCCACTTTATTATTTGAATGCTCACAATTTCCTTCTAATTTCAAACTTGTTTGTGGACCTGTAAAAAAATTCTTTTTTTAAATGCATCTGTTTAATGACACAGGACACTTTTCATTTATGCATGGTACACTGGTAGCCCAATCTGAAAGTACTATTTTCTACACTAAACTTTTTTTTTTTTTGAGCCAGAATCTTGCTCTGTTGCCAAGCTGGAGTGCAGTGGCGCAATCTCGGCTCACTGCAACCTCCACCTCCTTGGGTTCAAGAGATTCTTCTGCCACAGCCTCCCGAGTAGCTGGGACTACACACCTGCGCCACCACACCCAGCTAATTTTTGTAATTTTAGTAGAGACAGGGTTTCACCATGTTGGCCAGGATGGTCTCAATCTCTTGACCTCGTGACCTGCCCGCCTCAGCCTCCCAAAGTGCTAGGATTACAGGCGTGAGCCACTGCGCCTGGCCTAAACTATTTTTAAAAAGAAGTAACAGCATGCCTCTACTTATGTAAAAGCAAACATATGTTTTGACGGTGGTGAAGTTGGCTTCTGTTAACCCAACTTCTAAAGAACTAAATTGGCCAAAAGAGGAAAAAAAATGCTTATTTTATTAAATTTAAATTTAGTAAATGCTTATTTACTACATTGACTTGAGGATTTCAGACAAATAGCTTAGTTAGTGGTTAGATCAAGAGGCTTTATAGAAGAAAAGCTTAATGGTGCTTATTTATAAAATGAAAAAATTAGTAGTTCTTGGCCCTGCCTCATCTGTTTCTCAAATTTGTTGGTTATGAAAGATCTGACTGAAATCCACACCATCTGGCTTTTAGTGCTGGGATCCCAGCACAGGCCAGTTTAGCCATCTGCTTCTTTCTCTGACGCCACATACAACAGAGAGTCTTTTGTCATTGTTGTTCTTGTTGTTGTTGTTGTTCTTGTTTTGAGACGAAGTCTTGGTATGTCTCCCAGGCTGGAGTGCAGTGGCACGATCTCGGCTCACTGCAAGCTCTGCCTCCTGAGTTCACGCCATTCTCCTGCCTCAGCCTCCTGAGTAGCTGGGACTGCAGGCGCCCGCCACCACGCCCGGCTAATTTTTTGTATTTTTAGTAGACACGGGTTTTCACCGTGTTAGCCAGGATGGTCTCGATCTCCTGACCTCGTGATCTACCCGCCTCGGCCTCCCAAAGTGCTCGGATCGCACCCAGCCCAGAGCTGCATTTTCATACACCATTGAAATCAGTGAACCCTCACCGTGTGATGAGAATGCTGGATGAAATTTTATGCTGAGTGAGGGAACAATCTGTTGAAAATAAAGGTTAGAAATGTGTAGTGTCCTATCGTGTCAGTGCCACAAAAAAGATGGGGAGTCCTGCCACATGGTGGAATGGTGCCACATAAGTCAGAGCAGGAAGCGAGTGCAGAAGGACCCAAGTGACTGGAGAGATGATTGCAAATGCAACAGAAATTCTAGGGTTCATCGGATGCTGTGGCTATGCTTAAGAAACCAGCCACTCAGCTAAGAAAACAACAGTGAGAAATAACACCGTTACGGTGGATTTATTTCTCTGCTTAAATGACTGCCTTGCAGAAGAGCTGTGATCTTTTGATATTTTTTGGCAAACAGCATCAAAAACAAGATATATGGAATCAACCAACAGATCATGTATCACTGTGCTTGTACTGGTAAAACTCCGTGTACTTACTCCACGTCTACCGTAGTAGATTGAGAGATGGTCATCCAAAGATCTCAGATTCTAATCCCTGGGACTGGGAAGTGTTCCCTTGTTTGGCAAAAGAGTCTTTGTAGACGTGATTAAGTTAGGGATCTTGGCATGAGGGGATGAACCTTCTTTATTCAGGTGGCCTTGAATTATGATCACAAGTGTCCTTATAAAAGAGAGGCAAAGGGAGAAAGCACAGAAAGGAGAGGAGGAACTTAAGTGCCCATGGAGGCAGAGACCGCAGTAATGCAGCCACAAGTTAGGGACGCCAACAGAAGATGGGAGGGGCAAAGAACCAGTCCACCCCCGTAGACTCCAGGAAAAGTGTGGTCTTGCCAACACATTGATTTTGGAATTCTGGCCTCTAGAACTATGAAAGTATAAATTTCTGTTATTTTAAGCAGCCCAGCTGTGATACTTTGTTAAGCAGCCACAGGGACTAATACCCCTACTATGTGCCACTCACTGTGCCAGTCCTGGGGAAGATTTAGGCTGGAAAAGCATGGCCTTTGCAGCATTTTTCCCCCACCAGTGCTGAGACAATATGTTGAAAAGACTGGGAAAATGTTATAATGTATTCAAAATACCAGATGAGAGCTTTCTGTGTACCTGTCACTATGCTCAGCTCCAGAGATGGGATATGAACAAAATAGGCCCAATTCTCTTCCCTCTGTGCCGAACTTACTTTCTGTTAAGTACAAAATAGGGCTTAATGCTATGAAAATGAAGAGGAGTGACAACATTGATGTCAACCAGGAGGATCAGGGCAGATTTTAAATATGATGTGGCTGCAGCAAGAGTGTGTGCGCATGGGAACAGGCATTCCAAACGAAGGAATCACTGCTAATACAGCTGCAAAGTCTGCAGTGCCTTTGGGAAGCCTTGACAAGATGAACGTGTCAGAGAGCAGGCATTCAGTCTTTAACACAGCCTTTCCACATCGGCCTATAAAATTGTATTATGATGTTTCTTCATTTGGAAAACTAGTTTTAAAGGTTGCATTTTGATGAGTTTGCAACATTCAATTTCATGGAATCCAAATCGCATGCCCTTTGGAAGAGGTGCCATATGTGAATGCACCCATAAAGTGCACGCATGCAGCGTTTGTTACGTGGTAGGATCTCATGCAATTTTAAATGACTCTCATGTTAAAAAATGCTTCTATTGGCAGGGGGTGGTGGCTTACACCTGTAATCCAAGCACTTTGGGAGGCCAAGGCAGGTGGATCACCTGAGGTCAGGAGTTTGAGACCAGCCTGGCCAACATGGTGAAACCCCGTCTCTACCAAAAATACAAAAATTAGCTGGGCATGGTGGTGGGCACCTGTAATCCCAGCTATTTGGGAGGCTGAGGCAAGAGAATGTCTTGAACCCAGTAGTTGGAGGTTGCAGTGAGCCAACTTCGTGCCATTGTACTCCAGCCTGAGCAACAAGAGCAAAACTCCATCTCAAAGAAAAAAAAAATGCTTCTATCACTCTTAGCCTTGTTTTACTTCATACTCTGGTGGTGGGCAGGTTTGCTACCTTAAATACGTCCTAGAAGCTGAATCCAAATACTTTTTGAACAATTTTCTGACTTCCTTTAGAGAAATGTACTGTCAGAGTACTATGTATAATTTTTTAAATACAGCTACCCTGAAGACTTATAAAAGTCTGGTTGTTCAGGCAGTAATTTATTTACAAATTCATGAAAATGAAAACAGTTTATGCAAGCAACCAGCTCTGGGATGCCTCATCGTCCTTTGCAAAATTATCCAAATCATGATGAAATAGGCTTTATTTTTATGGATTAAACAGAGAAGAATGTCTAATGAATTGTCTAGAAATTGAAATACGCACCTTTTATGAATAGGGACATTTCATAAGACCATTCTGTATTGTGAGTTAGGAATTCAGATCAGTTGAAGCATTAAAAAAATCAAACCTTCTGCAGCTCATTAAAGCATAAACCTAATTTTTAGAATTTATCCGACTAATATAGTAAGAACTCCACCTGCTTAGAATAATATTAATACTTGGCCTCATTTACCTCCAAGAGGGGGATAGGCCCCTGACCAATCTTCCCATTTCACCGAGGACAGACACTTCCCTTGAATCAGGTGGAGGTTTTCCAGTCATATTTGCAACACTGTTTAATGCTCAATTGCCCTATTTCTTTCCTCTGTGAAGTGAATACAATAACTTAAATGAAGGTTGTTTGAAACTCCTACTATTGGGTAGGAGTTTGCAACCTGGTTACTATGATCAGAGCTATAATTTTTTTGTTTATTATAATTAGGTTTTTTGCAAGACTAAAATTGTGCTTCTTTTAAAGTGCTGAAGAATTTCCAGGCTTGTCAGCACTAATACGTATTCTAATTGCAAAAACAGACACGAATATCAACCCAGGTGCATAGACCTCATAGTGTCAATCAAATCTCATCAGAAACTACTTGTCTTGCAGGAGGAAGGGGATCCTAAAATCTTTTTTTTTTAAGGGAAATTTTTTATCAATTTGTATTCTTTATGTCCTTTCATATTGCCGTTTACCATAAATGAAAACCATGAGAGGAACTTTTAATAATAATACACATCTGATTATGCTTTTATGAATATACAGAACATTAAATTTCAAAAGGCTTTGCTTGAGTCCCAAATGCAATTTCTAAAACATTAACTAGCCTACTCAGAATCAGGTAGAAATGGTGCAAATGAGCTCTTTTTATCACAGGCATTATTTCTTGAATAAACTCTTTTTTGTTTCCTAAACTTCAAAAAAACTGTAATTTTATTTTCAACATTCATGAAGGATAAGTCAAATCCTGTCAGTGAGTGAGTCCAACGGTTTCCATGAAAGGAGGATGTGGTCACTTTCATGAAGAAGCCAACTGAGGAAGGCTTTTTCTTGGTTCAATCATTTGATGTAATGATTCAGATGAAAGCACGTAAGTTAGCCTTTCTTTATACCTGCTTCATAAAGTTTGAGACTGCTAAATTACCAAGATAGGACAGTAACATAAGATTATCTTCTTCATAGCATACATCACTATTTAAAATTATTTTATATATTTACTTATCTGTTATTTTCTGTCTTGCCCACTAGGATATATTGTCCATGAGATCTTGTCCTGTGAAGTCTTTCCTGGCACATAGTAAGTGCTCAATAATTGTTGCATAAAGGTGAATAAACCAATAAATGAAAGAACTTTTGCACATATTTGTATGTTACTTGTAACACATTTTGTAATTTGTCTGTTAATACTGCCTTCTCCCTTTTCTCTGACATCTTTGCAAAGGAAGTTATCTAGGGCAAAATAAATTGCAATATAAACTGTCATTAATTTGCACTAAGTCCTGTAAAACCTGTTTGCTTTTTTGTGTTTGGTCCATCAGCCAGCAGATCTTTTTTTTAATTTTATTTTTTATTTAATTTTATTTTTTTTTTTGAGACGGAGTCTCGCTCTGTCGCCCAGGCTGGAGTGCAGTGGCCGGATCTCGATCTCGGCTCACTGCAAGCTCCGCCTTCCGGGTTCACGCCATTCTCCTGCCTCAGCCTCCCAAGTAGCTGGGACTACAGGCGCCCGCCACTACGCCCGGCTAATTTTTTGTATTTTTAGTAGAGACGGGGTTTCACCGTTTTAGCCGGGATGGTCTCGATTTCCTGACCTCGTGATCCGCCCGCCTCGGCCTCCCAAAGTGCTGGGATTACAGGCGTGAGCCACCGCGCCCGGCCCAGCCAGCAGATCTTAATGAAGAGAGCTAATTGCAGAGTTTTCTAATAACGGGTTTTTACCGTATAGTCAGACTCAGCCCCTTTTCCATGTTACATTTTCTGCTGAATATCTACATTACTGCCTTTAATAGGCAGTGCAAAGCCTTAATGAGATGATTTATTTTGAAGTGAGTTTTAAAAATTCCTGGGTATTTAGACTCTGGCTTATTTTTTGCCACCTAATTGGTAGGAGTGAGTAGACAGGTATTGCTAATGGTACTTTAAATGACTATCAGGATCTGAAGGATGAATTGTATTAATTATTCAAATTGGAAATATTTCTTTGAGATTTTAAAAATCATATTGAAAGTCAATGGTAGATTGAATCAATACGCAAATTTACTTTACATATTTTTCAGTTCAAGTCTAATAAATAATGTCCAACTCTTTTGGCATTGTGTACATTTATAGAGACATGTCAATGTCTTCATGTCTTTTATTATTACTTATTAAAGTAAAGCTGATGGTGATATCAAAATGTCACCTATGTTTGTTTGTTTTTTTCTCTTGGTATACATTTGAAGCCTTTCTGGCCAACATCCCTCAATGTACCTATTTAACCTTCCAGGTATTGCTCAGTCAGTTACAAATATCTGGCCTTTCTTTTCAGGCTTTATATTCTAAAATACTTTTCTAGTGAGAAGCAAAAAAAAAAAAGAACAAAAAACCTCACTAATTCACTGTGGTATTTAGTTGGCATAGAACAAACAACCAAATTACCTGGCATGTGGCAGCTGGTTTATAAAAATGTAAAGTAGGTACTAGACATCATTTGAAAGTTTAGGCACATATAAATTTTGTCTTTAGATTATACAATATTTTTCCATAGGTATATGGTATATACTGAACTTATTCACATGATTTATTCCTTGCTATAATACTTTTCATCTAATTTGGCTAACTGGAGGAGGAGAGTGCCTACTGTGAATGCCTACTGTGTTCTGTGTTCTAGGCTAGAAACTTTGCATTCATTATTGAACACTCATATCAACTTTATGTGAAGGCAGCATTATTTACTGAAGAAATTAAGGCTCAGGGAATTTCAATTTCTCCATATTCCATACTGAGTAGTCAAGCTGGGATTGCTAGTCTGCTATTTGTCTGATTCTAAAGTCAGTGTTCTTTTTTAACACAGTCAATTGGAAAAACTCTCATTAACACAGAGATTTTTCTCTCCATCTTTTAAAGTTTTTACTCCACCACTGCTCACTATGAACTTATTATATTGGAGTGGATGCAAAATAAAGTGCCAGAAATGACTTGTAGAACATGGTCTCCTTGCTTTCCTCCTTATAATGAATAAGTGATGGGATTAAATGGATTCGGTACTTTTGGGCCCAGAGGAAGTATCTGGGAATTTGTTAAGAAATAAACAGAAAGTAGAGAGTGATGTCAGTAAAGTGATAGACTAGGAAGCCCCAGGCTTCATTCACTCACAGATAAACTGACTTGACAACAATAAGCCTTTATGAGAACTCCAGAAAGTAGTTAAGAAATCATTGCACCTCAGGCAAGCTCAAAGCCAAGAACAGCCACATTATAATGAGTAAGAAAGGTTATTTTATTTCAACCTTAGTAGCTCCTCCAAGCTGGCACAACACAGCAAAATTAGGAGAAAAAGGCCAGCTCATGCCTTTTCCTTTGAGAGGGAAAGAGAAGAGTAGAACATATGTTTAATGTTCTAGCTTTTCAGGGGGCTGCTCAGGGACTGGTTTCCCTCTCACCTGGCTTGAAGCAGTGATGAGGAACCAGTATAGTATGGATGTCTTGGGACTGCTGAGAAGAAAAGGTTGCTCAGCAGTTTGATGCGGCCCCAGAGAACCTTATCACCATGAAAGAGCTGGTACAGCTTGGAGTGACTGGGAGAAAATGCCCAGCTCATGACTACTCGTTTGGAAGAAAAAGAGAAGAGTGGAACATGCATCCAGCAATTCAGTGTATTTTTTTTTTTTTTTTGGTCAGGGGGCTGCCCTACAAACAGAGTTCTGTCTTACCTGACTTGGAGCATTGACAGAACCTGCATGCTTTGGATGCCTATGGTCACAGAAAACAATAGGGTATTCAGCAGCTTGCATATTACATCAGAGAATTTCTAGTACTGCAGACAGACATCAGTGTCAGCAAGAGATTAGAAGCTCCTGAAAAAGAAACTGCAAATCTCTCTAACTGGGAAATCAGATACATAAGCTCAGAAAAGATGTATCCCCAGAAAAGATTTTGGAGGACCCCAGAATCTCTAACCAGGCCGATTGGTGAAGCTCTTCCCTTGTATGAAGGCAGTTTATGAAGATTGGAAGAGGTGGCTGTATATTTAAATGCACACATCACAGCAAAAAATAACAAGACACATGGAAAAACATAGAAACATGACTCAATCAAAGGAATAAAATAAACTTCCAGAAAAAATAATCCTAAAAATGGATATCTGTGAATTACTTGACAAAGAATTCAAAATAATCACCTTAAAGAAGCTCAATGCATTACAAGAGAACACAGAAATATAACTAAACAAAGAGGAAGGCTGGGCACGGTGGCTTACACCTGTAATCCCATCACTTTGGGAGACTGAAGTGGGTGGATCACCTGAGGTCAGGAGTTCGAGATCAGCCTGACCAACATGATGAAACCCCGTCTCTACTAAAAATACAAAAATTAGCTGGGCGTGGTGGCAGGTGCCTGTAGTCCTCGCTACTCAAGAGACTGAGGCAGGGAAATAGCTTGAACTCAGGAGGTGGAGGTTGGAGGTTGCAGTGAGCCAAGATCACGCCATTACATTCCAGCCTAGGCAACAAGAGCAAAACTCCATCTAAAAAAAAAAAAAAACAAAAAAACAAAAAAACAGCCAGGCATGGTGGCTCACACGTGTAATCCCAGAACTTTGGGAGGCCGAGGCAGGTGGATCATGAGGTCAGGAGATCGAGACCATCCTGGCTAACATGGTGAAACCCTGTCTCTACTAAAAAATACAAAAAATTAGCTGGACGTGGTGGCAGGCACCTGTAGTCCCAGCTACTCAGGAGGCTGAGGCAGGAGAATGGCGTGAACTCGGGAGGCGGAGTTTTCAGTGAGCCAAGATCATGCCACTGCATTCCAGCCTGGGCGACAGAGCCAGACTCCATCTCAAAATAACAAAAAACAAACAAACAAAAAGAACAAATGGAAAACAATGCACAAACTAATGTAGAATATCAACAGAGACAGAAACCAGAATAAAGGCCAAACAGAAGTTATGGAGCTGAATAATGCAATAACAGAATTGAAATATTCACTATAAGCATTTAACAGCAGATGTGATCAATCAGAAGAAGGAATCAGTGAACTCAAAGAAAGGTCATTTGAAGTTATTGAATTAGAGGATCAAATAGAAAAGAGAATGATGGAAAATAAAGAAAGTCTGTGGGATTTATGTGGTACCACTGAGTGGACCAATACAGGCATTATGAGAGTTCCAGAAGGAGAAGGGAGCAAGAAAGGGAAGAGAGTTTATTTGAAGAAATAATGGCTTAAAACCACTCAACTGAGAAAGAAAATGGATATCCAAATTCAGGAATCACAAAAGACTCCAATTAAGTTGAACTCAGAGTCTCACACCAAGACACACAATAACCAACTGGTCAAAAGCAAAAGTCAAAGAGAGATTCTTGAAAACATCAAGAGAAAACAGACTCATCATGTACAAGGGAGTTTCCATAAGATTATCAGTGGATTTCTCACCAGAAACATTACAGGTCAGAAGGGAGTGGGATGATATATTCAAAGTATTGAAAGAAAAAAAAATCTTGCCTAGCAAAAATACTACATCTTGTAAAACTATCCTTCAAAAATAAACAGACCTTCCCAAATAAACAAAAGCTGAGGGACTTCATCACCACTAGATTAGGCTTAGAAGAATAGCTAAAGGGAGTTTCAAAATGAAATGAAAAGATTAGCTAGCAACATGAAATCATATGAAAATATAAAGCTCTTTGCTGAAGGTAAATATTTAAGCAAACACAGAATCCTCTAATACTATGATAGTGGTGCATAAATAATTTTTAATTCTAGTGTAGTTAAAAATATAAAAGCATGAAAATAACTAAACTATAAATCTATATACATTGATACATAAAGTTAAAAATGTAATTGATAGCACCAAGAACATAAAGTGTGTGTAGGGTAACATGTAAAGAAGTAAAGTTTTGTGTGTGATTGAAGTTAAGTTCATAATTATAAGTTCATGTAAGTTCATCAAGTTCACTATAAGATGTTTAATGTAATCTCTATGGTAACTACAAATAAAATATCTTAAAAAGATGTACAAAAATGAGATAGAAATACAAACATGTCACTGAAAAAAATCACAAGAGAAGACAGCAGGAGATTGTAAAATTTCTTTCCTATCAGTAATTACTTTAAATGTAATTGAATTAAACACTCCAATCAAAAGACACAGAATGGCTGAATGGATTGAAAAAGAAACAAGATCCAACCGTATGCTGTCTACAAAAGACTCACTTTAGCTCTAAGGACACACACAGAATGAATGTGAAAAAATGGAAATAGATATTCCATACAAATGGTAACCAAAAGAGAGCAGAGGTTGTGATGCTTATATCAGATGAAATAGACTATAATTCTAAAACTTTTCACAAGGGACAAGGAAAAACAATACATGACATCAGGATCAATAAAATAAGATACAATTATAAATATTCACCTAACATCAGAACACAGACATATATGAAGCAAACAATGGTAGAATTGAATAGACAGGAACACAATAATATTAGAAGATTTCAATACCTTATTTTCGATAATGAATATATCAACCAGACAGAGGATTAATATGAACACAGAGGACTTGAACAACACTATAGACCAATTAGACCTAACAGACACCTGCGGAACACTCCACACAACAGCAGACCATACATTCTTCTCAAGTGCACATAGAACATATTCCATGTCCATGGAACAAATTTAAGGATATTGAAATCAGACCAAGCAAGTATCTTTTCTGACAACAATGGAATGGAATGAAACTAGAAATAAACAGCAGAAGGAAAATCGAAAAATTCAAAATTAGGTGGAAATTAAACAACACACTCTTTTTTTTTGAGACAAAGTCTCGCTCTGTCACCCAGGCTGGAGTGCAGTGGCGCAATCTCTGTAGACGTGATAGGTAGGAGCGGATATCACTTAGTCCAAGTCCTCTGGTCTCCAGGTAGGCAAGGTCCTTTGCAGATGCCCTGGTGTTAGCGGTGGTTCCCAGTCTCGGCAATGCATTAGTAACACCTGGGCTGCCTTTATAACGGCCAACCTATTATCCCCAGTGATTGATTTAATTGTTCTTGGGTTAAAATCATCCCTACATTTTTTTTTTTTAGATGGACACTTACTCTGTTGCCCAGGCTGGAGTGCAGTGGCGCGATCTCAGCTCACTGCAACCCCCACGTCCCGGGTTCAAGTGATTCTCCTGTCTCGGCCTCCAGAGCAGGTGGGATTACAGGTGCCTGCCACCACGACCGGCTAATTTTTGTATTTTCAGTAGAGACGGGATTTCACCGTGTTGGCCAGACTCGTCTCAAACTCTGACTTCAGGCAATCCCCTCGCCTCAGCCTCCCAAAGTGGTGGTATTACAGGTGTGAGCCACTGCGCCTGGCCACCCCTACATTTTTTTAAAGCAGCCAAGGGAAATATTATATACCAAGGCTAAGGACCACTGAGCTGAAGTACTAAGTTTTCAGATGAGGAAACCCCAATCTCCTTTCTCACTCATGTGGGTTTACGGTATTAACTACATTTTAAATGTCAGAAGTTTAAAAAGCACAAAATAAATGTTACGAATAGAGTTAAAATAGGGCAGCAGTGATTCTGATTTGTGTTATATATATTGCAAGGTTTCACATCTTAAAAATGTGAACTTTAGTGGATGATTCAAAGCACATGTATTATTCTGTGTAAAGAACACTGTGTGTATTAACTCATCTTCAGTGGGTATTAACTTTGTGCTTTTTTAAAAATGAGGATTTAAAAAACAAAACATTAATGTTCTCTTGCTCATTTTCTGAGTCATGGGAGTAGATGGTATATCATATACTAGGCAGGTTTGCCCAGAAAATAGAAAGCATTCTAAATATTTCAAGCAGAAAGGGATTATATTCGTGGTTATGTGTTTATTGATAGGACTGGAGTGGGAAAGCTAGGGAAGGCTGCCACTCTTGTTCAGGGTGGCCACTGTTACTGTGGTCCAAGAAGCTGCTGCTGCTGCCCAGGAGAGAATATTGCAGGGAATCACAGTGGACTCCAGCTACCTTGCATCAGAACTGCGGAGACAGGCGACACAGGCAATACCCAGAGGCTGCTGAAGACAGCAATTCTGTTCATTGCTGTGGGAGGAGGGAGAATAGTGTTGTGTGTGCTTTTACATCTCAGGCAAGTCTACCTCGTTGACATCGAGAGATGTCAGGTTGCACTGAGAACCCTAGAGGAAGGGAACTCTGGGAAAGGCAGGCACCGGCTCTCTAGACTGTATGACAGGCACAAGCGTACAGATGAGAATGAGAATGAATCCTCATTGTCAAGCAGAATTAAACCAAACTAAAACACATTATAAAGCAAAAAGATGATGAAGAGATGGGCCATTGAACATTTTGTGTGACGTTATCTGGATTCTGTGAAAATGGAACCAATGTTTTCCGATCCACTGAGCTACCTTTGTTAACAGGGATATTCATAACATTTATGTTTTCTTACATTCATATATGTTTTTATAAATGCCATTTATGATCCTGAGTATGTAAAGGAAGATGTTGCCTCTGATACTGGTGTGGCATGTGCAAGACTATTTTTGTGAGTTTCAGTTTGGCGACTGCTTTTGGTGGGAAGAGGTCTTTCAGCAAACAAAATTCACCAGTCCTAAGAGCGCCTTGAATGCTGGAGATAAAAATATTTCTTTGACCATAATAACTCTGCTGTTGGTATTTGCTTCAGATTTGTGGCCTAGCATCTGAGATTAGGTCCAAGCTTTAATAATGATTGGCTGTTCCCCTCGAACCCTGGGGGTTTATTTATCATCATTTTCCACCCATGTGTCAGCTGAAAAAACAAAAAAATTATCGATTAGCAATCCCAACCACTTGTCACTTAAACTGGATAATTTATTACCTAAGTCAAAAAGACACGTATCAGTAGAGATGAGCTACAGTGATTATTAGCTTCATACTGTCCTACCTTGCCTGCATGTCTGCACTTGTGACCTGCTGTTCTCTTTCTTCTGAATGGAGACAAGAAAGGGACCATCAGATGCTGGGGTTCTGCTGGTAGACAGCGAGCAGAGCTATAGTCCCTGACTATGATGGTTGCTTCACTGCTTTAGCTTGTCTCCTGTTACTCTTGCTGCAGCATGGAAGGCTGCAATAATACTATTCGTTTCTAAATGCTTGCCAGTGAAGATGGAGTGCTCAAATCATCTAATGGGTGGATTTAAGACAGCGAGAAGGAGAAGGCTTGTTGCCATTTCCAATTTTGTCTGGTTCTTTAAGATGGCATGAGAGGGAAATAATTAATCTTGGATAGATTTTAGCAAAACGAAACACCCATGTTCCTAATCTTTGGTAAAATACTTTACCAATTTAGGGCCGGGTGCGGTGGCTCACGATTGTAATCCCAGCACTTTGGGAGGCCGAGGTGGGTAGATCACGAGGTCAGGAGATCGAGACCATCCTGGCTAACACAGTGAAACCCCATCTGTACTAAAAATACAAAAAATTAGCTGGGCATGGTGGTGGGCGCCTGTAGTCCCAGCTACTCGGGAGGCTGAGGCAGGAGAATGGCGTGAACCCGGGAGGCGGAGCTTGCAGTGAGCCGAGATTGTGCCACTGCACTCCAGCCTCCGCAACAGAGCGAGACTCCGTCTAAAAACGAACAAACAAACAAACAAACACTTAACCAATTTAGTTTTTCCTTGAGGACTAGGGTTATTTTCCTGATCAGAAAGACAGGACTAAGGTGCCAGCCTGGGAATTTTGAATGACTCATGGAAAGCTGTTACAGGTAGAAAGATGTCAGTGCCAAGTGTTTTAAATAGGCATTTTGGACCATTAGGATGTCATGGTTTGCTTATCATGGCTTTTTTTACATCTGAATACATTCTCATCAGCTATGCTTCATTCGTTATAAAAGGAACTCTAGAATCAAGTGTTGCCATTCTTCTTGGTTTCAGAAGAAAGATAATCTCTTGAGCTCACAGGCTCACAAACACATCTCACTGAAAGTAATTACCTTCACATCAGTTATGAGAAGGCACATGCTGAGTTTGCCTCCCCAATGCCTTTCAAGATTTATGAGTGCCTTATCACTGGATATCATGGGCAACAGATGCACCTTATAACGATGACTTTAAAAAATAAACTATAATTGTTATGCCTTGGCTCCTGGCCAAAGAAACAGGATCTAAGTCTGATTGATGGCACAAGGTAGCTTTCTATCATTTAACAGTAAATGGCTTTGCTCTTTTATTATGTTTTGCTTGAGTAAAAAAAAAAAGATAAATAGAATTAAGAACTTGATGAAAGACAGTCCTGCAGTGATACACATTGAAAGATGCAAAACTAAGAGTCACTGATTAGCTGGTGAACTTGCTAGTGTGGATCATGGAATGACTGTAAGCATCATCTCATGAGCCCATCATGAAGCTGACCTCACAGAGGCAGTGGCACTGCAGGAGACCACCAACAAAGCAGAAATGGCAAAAGAGTTCCCAGAGAAATAACGCCTGCCGGGGTCCCAAGATAGGAACTAGAAAGAAGTCAGAGCTGTGCATTGGTGAAATACAAGTGCTTAATAACCCCCATCCTTACTCATATCTGCATATGCACAGCACTGTGTGAAAAGTAGATGTGACCGATTGCTTGTTATAGACCAGTGTTCACCCTCTTCTGTTTCCTTTGGTCATGGAACCTCTAAGTTTTAAGTAGGCATAGAGCCACCCAGTTAAAGATTGCATTTCCCACATCCTTTATCATTAAGTGCAGGCTTGTGACTAGATTCTGGCAATGGGATATGAACAGAAATGGTGAATGTAGAGCTGCTCCAAGATGGCTGACTAGACGCAGCCAGGAGGAACATCTCCCACTGAGGGTCTGGGACATTGGGAAGACTGGCACGCTTCTAGCAGATCTTCAGAGAGAAGGTACTGAGAGTGGATGGAGGGAAGACACAGGTGCTGGGCTGAAGGGGGAGGAAGCTGGGAACCCTGCACGGGGCTACTGCACACCAGGACTCCTTCCTGGCTTCCAGTGACTCTTGCGAAAGGGGTGAGTTTAATAGGCAAATTGCTCTCACCATGGGCCTCTGGAATTGCAGCAGGAGGAGACCCCTTGAGCACCGTGGACACTTGAGTTGGCAGGGAGAGCAGCTTGGAGACGTATTAGTGGCAGAACCCCAGACTGTGCAGAGCCCAGAGGGTTTGGTGTGGGAAATTCTGTAGTGGAGCATCACCAGGGATACCCATCCCCCGAGGCTCAGCTTGCTCCCATAGGAAACTTCAGCCCTGTGAGATCTGTGGGACCTTAACTCTGCAGGGCAGTCTTGCCCATCAGACTAGGCTGGTCTGAGCTGAGAACCCCATGGTTCTGCTAGCCTTCCCTGGGGCCCATCCTGGCCATGCCTGCTTGCAGTGCAGGCCCCAGGTACCTCCTGGGGGATTGAACCATAGGTCCTGTGCTGGTGGACTACAATTAACTGGCAGAGTGCTCTAGCAGAGTGATCCCTGTGAATACACACCATCTGCAAACTCCCTCAACTGTAGCCTCTCTTGTGTTGCTTTGCCTGCAGGCAGTAGCCCATGGCCAACCCAAACATTGCTTTGCCGGTTTGTGTGTGTGTGGGCAGACCTTGCCTTCCCTTCCCCACCACTGCACCTGTGCACATAAACCTGGCCATGCCACTGCTGTTGGCATTAATGCACTCTGCCCACTCCCACCTCCCCACTGCAACATTGCCATTGTCACTGGAGATTGGTGGGCATGGAGCCTATGAGCCTTCCCTCCACCAGCACCCTGCCCCTGTGCCAACACTGCTGCCAGTGCAAAATTGGACATGGAGAACAGCAAACTCACCCCTGCCCTGAGTGGCACTGCCACCTGTGTGAATGTGCACAGAGGGCAATACAGTCCTGTGTCCACCAGTGCCCTACTGCCATGCTAACACCACCACCAGTGTGGATACACACACAATTATTGGCAGGGGCCTTCTATCCCCAAGCCATGGTGCCACCACTGCTCCACATGGAGGCCAACATCCCAGCAACTGCTAGCACTCTGCCACAGCTGATGAACACAAACTCCACCACACTGCCACTGCCACTGCTGCTGGCACATGCAAATGAGGATGGATCCCACTGTCACCACCCTATGAAGTGCTTTGGCTGGTATCACTTATTGGAGTGTTGTGACCTGTGGTCTGGGAGCACCTCAGACCCTCAAAAACAGCAGTTTCCCCTTGAGGAGCCAAAGAGCAAAGCCAGGCCTAATCCCAGCCCCCAGAGTTAGAATATGCAGTCCAGGAGTCCTGAGCTGAGCCTTGGCCCTCTAAAATATTCCAGAAATGAAGCCAGTTGACTGAACTCACCTTAAACCACAATCAAACACCAAGGTCATCAAATAGGATAAAAGAAAGAAAACCCATCCAAGGTCAGCAACCTCAAAGACTGAAGGAACATCAGTCCACAAAGATGAGAAAGAACCAGTGCAAAAACTCTGGCAACTCAAAAAGTCAAGGTGTCTTCATTCCGCCAAACAACCACACTAGTTTTCAAGTAAAAGTTCTTAACCAGGCTGAGATAGCTGAAATGACAGAAATACGATTCAGGATATGGATATGAATGAAGATCATCAAGATTCAGGAATACAATGAAACCCAATCTAAGGAAGATAAGAATCACACACACAAAAGCTGATACAGGAGCTGACAGACAAAATAGCCAGTATGGAGAAGAAGATGACCAACTTGATAAAGATGAAAAACACACTACAAGAATTTCATAATGCAATCACAAGTATTAATGGCAGAATAGACCAAGCTTAGAAAATAATTGCAGAGCTTAAAGACTGGCTTTCTGAAATAAGACAGTCAGATAAGAATGAAGAAAAAAGAATAAAAAAGAGCAAACAAAACCTCTGGAGAAATATGGGGTGATGTAAATAGACCAAATCTACTACTCATTGGCATCCCTGAAAGAGATGGGGAAAATGGAAGCGACTTGGAAAACATATTCCAGGATATCATCCATGAGAACTTCCTAAACCTAGCTAGAGAGGCCAACATTAAAATTCAGGAAATGCAGAGAACCACTGCAAGATACTTCAAAAGAAGATCATCTCCAAGACACATAATCATCAGATTCTCCAAGGTTGAAATGAAAGAAAAAGTGTTAAAGGCAGCTAGGGAGAAAGGACAGGTCACCTACAAAGGGAAGTCCATGAGATAACAGGGGATCTCTCAAAAGAAACTCTAGAAGCCAGAAGAGATTGGGGGACTATATTCAGCATTCTTAAAGAAAAGAAATTCCAACCAAGAATTTCATATTTGGCCAAACTAAGCTTCATAAACAAAGGAGAACCAAGATCCTTTTCAGACAAGCAAACGATGAGGGAATTTGTTACCACCAGATCTTCCTTACAGAAATTCCTGAAAAAGGCAATAAATACAAAAAGGAAATATCATCACCAGCCACTACAAAAACACACATAAGTACACAGACCAGTGATTTGATAAAGCAACCACACAAAGAAGTCTGCATAAGAACCAGCTAATGACATGACAGAATCAAATTCACACATATCAATGTTAAACTTGAATGTAAATGGGCTAAATGCCCCATTAAGAGATGCAATGTGGCAAGCTGGATAAAGAAGCAAGACTCAATGTTATGCTGTCTTCAAGAGACCCATCTCACATGCAATGACACTTATAGACTCAAAATAGAGGAATGGAGGAAAATCTACCAAGCAAATGGAAAAGAGAAAAAGCAGGAGTAAAAATCCTACTTTCAGGCAAAACAGACTTTAAACCAACAAAGATCAAAAAAGACAAAAAAGGGCATTACATAATGGTAAATGGTTCAATTCAACAAGAAGATCTAACTAACTTAAACATATATGCACCCAACTAAGGAGCATCCATATTCATGAAGCATGTTCTCAGAGATGTTCAAAGAGACTTAGAATACCACACAGTAATAATGGGAGAAGGAAACATTCCACTGACAGTATTAGATCATTGAAGCAGAAAATTAACAAAGATATTCAGGACCTGAACTAACACTGAACCAAATAGACTTGATAGACATACACAAAAGTCTCCACTCAAGAATAATAGAATATACATTCTTATCACCGCATGGCACGTATTCTAAAATTGACCACACAGTTGAACACAAAACACTCCTCAGCAAATGCAAAAGAATCAGAATCATATTAACCAGTCTCTCAGACCACAGTGCATTAAAAATAGAATTCATGACTAAGAAAATTACTCGAAACCATACAATTATATGGCAATTAAGCAACCTGCTCCTGAATGACTTTTGGGTATATAGTAAAATTAAGGAAGAAATCAAGAAGTTCGTTAAAACTAATAAGAACTGAGATACAACATACCAGAATCTCTGGGACACAGCTAAGGCAGTGTTAACAAGGAAATTTATAGCGCTAAACACTTACATCAAAACGTTAGAAAGATCTCAAATTAACAACCTAACATCACAACTAAAATAACTAGAGAAGCAAGAGCAAACCAACCCCAAAACTAGAAGAAGACAAGAAATAACCAAAATCAGAGCTGAACTGAAGAATGGGACACAAAAAAACCATTCAAAAGATCAATGAAGGCAGGAGCTGGTTTTTTGAAAAAGTAAATAAAATAGATAGAGTGCTAGCCAGACTAGTAAAGAAGAAAAGAGAGAGACCCAAACAAACACATTTAGAAACAACAAAGGGGATGTTACCACTGGCCCCACAGAAATACAAATTACCATCAGAGACTACTATGACTGCCTCTGTGCACACAAACTAGAAAATCCAGAACAAATTGATACATTTCTTGACACATACATCCTCCCCAAGACTGAACCAGGAAGAAATTGTATCCCTGAGTAGATCAATAATGAACTTTGAAACTGAGTCAGTAATAAATAACCTACCAACCAAAAACAGCCTGGGACCAGACAGATTCATAGCTGAATTCTGCCAGATATACAGAGAACTGGTATTATTTCTACTGAAACTATTCCAAAAAATTGAGGAGGAGGGACTCCTTTCCAATTCATTCTATGAGGCCAGCATCATGCTGATACTAAAACCTGGCAAAGCCACAACAAAAAAGAAAACTTCAGGCCAGTATTCTTGATGAACTTTGATACAAAAATTATCCACAAAATACTAGCAAACCAATTCCAGCACCACATTAAAAAGCTAATCCACCATAATTGAGTAGGCTTTATCCCTGAGATTCAAGGCTGATTCAACATACACAGATCAATAAATGTGATTCATCACATAAACAGAACTAAAGACAAAAACCATGATTGTCTCAATAGATGTAGAAAGGGCTTTCAAATAAAATTCAATATCCTTTCATGTTAAGAACTCTCAGTAAATTAGGTATTGAAGGAACATACCTCAAAATAATAAGAGCCATCTATGACAAACCCACACAGACAACATCATACTGAATGGGCAAAAGCTGGAAGCATTACCCTTGAAAACTGGTACAAGACAAGCATGCCCTCTCTCACCATTCCTATTCAACATAGTATTGGAAGTCCTGGACAGGGCAATTAGGCAAGATAAAGTAATAAAGGGTATCCAATAGGAAGAGAGGAGGTCAAGCTATCCCTGTTTGCAGATGACATGATTCTGTATCTAGAAAACCCCATAGTTTTTGCCACAAAGCTCCTTAATCTGATAAACAACTTCAGCAATGTTTCAGGATACAAAATCAATGTACAAAAAATCACTAGCATTCTTATAAACCAACAACAGCCACGCTGAGAGCCACTTACACACTGTTGGTGGCAGTGTAAGTTCTTTTAACCAGTGTGGAAAGCAGTGTGGTGATACCTCAAAGGGCTAAAAACAGAACAACCATCTAACCCAGCAATCCCATTCCTGGGTATATACCAAAGTGAATATAATTCATTATATCATAAAGACCCATGCACACATATGTTCTTTGCAGCACTATTCACAATAGCAAAGACATGGAATCAACCTAAATACCCATCAGTGATAGACTGGATAAAGAAAACATGGTACATATGCATCATGGAATACTATGCAACCATAAAAAAGAATGTGATCACATTCTTTGCAGGTACATGGATGGGGCTGGAGGCCATTATCCTTAGCAAAGTAACACAGGAACAGAAAACCAAATCCACATGTTCTCACTTAAAAGTGGGAGCTAAATGATGAGAACACATGGACACATAGTGGGGAACAGACACTGGGTCATACTTGAGGGTGGAGGGTGGGAGGAGGGAGAGAATCAGGAAAAACAGCTATTGGGTACTAGGCTCAGTACCTGAGTGATGAAATAATCTGTACAGCAATACACCATGACATGCCAAACCCTATATACCAAACCTACACATGTACCCCTGAACCTAAAATAAAGTTAAAAGGCCGGGTGTGGTGGCTCACGCCTGTAATCCCAGCACTTTGGGAGGCCCAGGCGGGCGGATCACGAGGTCAGGAGATCAAGACCATCTTGGCTAACACGGTGAAACCCTGTCTCTACTAAAATACAAAAAGAAATTAGCCGGGTATAGTGGCGGGCACCTGTAGTCCCAGCTACTCGGGAGGCTTGAGGCAGGAGAATGGCGTGAACCCGGGAGGCGGAGCTTGCAGTGAGTCGAGATCATACCACTGCACTCCAGCCTGGGTGACAGAGCGAGACTCCGTCTCAAAAAAAAAAAAAAAAAAAAAGAGATACTGAGGCTTAATGATTTCCTCAGGGCCACATGAATAAAAATTGTCAGAGTTGGGCTTCCACAACAGGCATCTAATTTCACTTACCTCATATGGCATCCCAAGTCAGTCAATACGTATTTGCATCTAGTTGGTGATTCTCACAGGAGTGCATGGCTACTCCTGACTCAAGACTGGTCCTTCTGTAAGTGGAAAGCTTTTCCCCATTTGGAGAGAGTGGCATCTGGAATAAGGGAGGGAGAGCTCACTACCTAAGGCCGACTTAATGCTGCGCTAGGTGTTGCGGGTTTACAAAAGTACAGAGATAAGAAAAATCAACTAAATTTCAATACTTGATTTCCCACATGTGTGTTGGTTCCTTTTCCTTTTGTATATTTTAATTCCACTGTGCTGCTTATTAAATCCACAATTCTGTATGTATCTTGAGTTTAGAGGGAACGTTTTATTCATTGCGCAGTGTCTGAAACATAGTACAAGCATAGTAACTTCATTACATTTTTAAAAGTTATAATCCAAATCTATATGAACCACAACAATCCCATTGATATTTTGATGAATTATATAATTAGAATTTATTGTTGGGATAGCCATTTCTTCTTCCAGTGCAAATAATACTAAAAAGAAAAATCATGTGCATATTATTAATTACAATTTCACGTGAATTAAGAATTCTTCTTTATTATTTATGTAGCCATTTTTTACCCTACAGGAATGACAATAATCCTTTCCCATTATTGATAACATAATAATAATAATACTGTTATGCTTATTTTTTCTGTTTTTCCTCTAGACTCAGTCATCCTATTAACTCAAGTCATTTGATTTAATGGAGTAAGTTAATTCATATTTTGACTGTGAGTTTCCACTAACAAAGGAAAAAATTCTTGGAAGTCTCTTAAGAAGTCCATTTCTTTGTTAAAAGCAATAATGTAGTTTGTTCACTGCTGTGTGGAGGTGAGACTGTGAGATAGTCTAATAATACAAAAGTCTAGGAAGTGCAGCTTTCTCTTCTACTTTTGAAAATTACCCTGTTTCAGGATGCTTCGTCTCACTACCTTTTGTTTTTGAGCGTATTCAATGTATGACTAATCAGAAGATTAAAGGTATTTTGCCTAAATGCATTTTTCTACAAAACAGGGCAAGAATTAGAAAAGCCTGCAGTAGTGTAAGTAAGCTGACAGAGGTGAAAGCTTTTTTAAATTAAAAAATTTGATAAAATTGCTACTGCTCAGTTATTTATAGAGATTGCAAATATGTAAATTGGTTGAGTGAGAAGATAAATTAAGGGGAAAAACAAGCTAATGGGAAGGACCGACCACTACAAACAGCATTAGCAGTGCCAGTGTTCCAAAGGCGTGCTCTCAGGAAATTTTTCACCTAGAGAAAATATCAATTATGCTCCTACCATTCTGATTATAGACAGAGGTGGTTATTTTATATATTTCTGCTGGATAATACATCTAAAAGCTATGAATTTGAATATAATATATATAATCCTTGTTTTATAAGGATATGAAAAATTATCTTTTATAGAATGCATCAAATCCAAGGAAGAAGATAATGTGGCATATTCAGAAGTCTTTTCATGGCATTTCCCAGAAATCTGAGAACTAAAGTCACTATGAAGACTCTTCTGTAGAAGAGACCACTACAGACATCAGTTTCTACTAAACAGTGAAAAGTCAGAACCATTATATATTAAGTAGAATGGGAATTAAATGGCCGTGTTCACATTTATAATGCATTTGAAAAGCGAGACTAGACTACAATGCTTTGTAGTAATAATAGATTCAGTGATTTCACTTGAGACATAGCAAATTAAATCTCAGAAATGTTGCTGAATTGATTGCAGGGTTCCAACCTCTACTATGAAAAGAGGAAGCCCCGCAGCTCTACTACAATTTGCCTGACAAGGCTGAGGCTCCCAGCTTGAGTGATCAAAAGAAGATAAGTCATTCTGGCCCTAATAAGCATAGCTGCTGTTAACCACGGGAGGAGTTTTAAAGTCTCTCATAGGAAGAGCCTAGTTGTCCAAGCTGTAGTTTCGAGAGAGGCCAAACGCTCATCAGTTCATCTTGTGTGTGTGAATATCAGTTGCAAAGGTTGAAACAGAATTATGCCATATATTCTAAAACAGGTGTCAAATAATATCCTGTGTACTACTTTATCCTAGGCATTTTGGGGAACATCAAAATGCCTAGGATAAAGGCATTTTGGGGGGCCATCAAAAAAGCATTGGCTTATCAAAAATTGGAGGAGACAGTGTTATAAGAAGCACCTGAGACAGTAAGTGTAAATCGTGTGGCCCTGACCGTAAATAGAATGGGAGCCTGCAGCATGGACTGGCATGATCAGAGGTTTGGAGCTGGAACCATAAAAAGCCCCTATTAGGTCCTGCCTTCCACCCACCACACCATCCAGGCCAACAGATGCTCACTGTCCACAGGCTTAACTGATGATTCCTGTCACCTGATTTTCCAGGGTGAGCAGGGTCACTGAAGTATCTCAGGTGAATATCCCCTACAGGACTAGAGGAGGGTGACTTTGGAGTAGACTGTGTGGGACAAGAGAAATAGGTGGTGAAATCTGTGGGGACATCAGTGGGAGTCTTTGGTCTGTGGTCTAATAAGTAAACCTGAGATCGAGGTCAGGATCTGAAATACCTGGGTCTACCTCATGGATTTGTATATTGCATCTGCATCATGTCCAGCATTGGATATGATCATATCTCCTGTAGGTTACATTTCACAAAGGTTTGTTAGTTCTGTGTAGGCAAATATAAAGAGGTATATGTGTATGTATAAGCATTTAAAATTCTGTCCCTCCTGGCCAACATGGTGAAACCGAATCTGTACTAAAAATACAAAAATTAGCTGGGCATGTTGGTGCATGCTTGTAATCCCAGCTACTTGGGAGGCTGAGGCGGAGAATCACTTGAACCTGGGAGGTGGAGGTTGCAGTGAGCCGAGATCACGCCACAGCACTCCAACTTGGGCGACAGGGAGAGACTCCATCTCAAAACAAACAAACAAAGAAACAAAATTCTGTGAGGTGTCTTTTGTAGCAACTGGAATGAAACTAGAGTTCATTATCTTAAGTGAAACAAGCCAGGGGAAGAAAGTCAAATATCACATGTTCTCACCCATAAATGGGAGCTAAATAACCTGTATAGATGGATGTAGAGAGTGGGATGACAGACAATGGAGGCTTGGAATGCTGAGGGTGGAATGAGAGGAGTGGATGATGAGAAATTAGTTGATGGGTACAATGTACGTTATTTTGGTTGATGGATACCCTAAAAGCCCTGACTTGACCACTACACAATCTATGCAGGTAACAAAATTGCAGATGTGCCCCATAAATTTGTACAACAAATAAAAAAAAATCTGTGAGAATTTGAAAGTAGCCTATGATCATTTCCAAGGAGCAGAAACAACTACACGATGCTGTGGAAGGACTAATACATTTGTTCAAAAACAAAAGCATCTAGTCAGTCATTAATTCTAGATGGCCCATGAATGCATAAATTGTGCAAAGATCTACATAGATAATCAAGGCAACCAGGTTCTACACAAGGTGAAAAGGTTCTGAAAGGACGAGAAGCCTTCTAGGCCACCAGTTGGTCACCTTGCCACCACAACAATGGCCCATTTGATAGGAGACAATGCCATAGAGGGGAGAAAAGAACAGAAGATTGAGAGGAGAAAGGACGCAGGTTTTGTTGCTGTTGTTTTTGTTGTTAATGTTTCCTCTTGCTTCCATGTACTGCTTGTCTTTTACAATCAGTTTATAACTTCAGGGCCCTGGGACTGTTTTTATTGAAACATGACTTAGAAACTGTAAAGCTGTTTTAGGCATTGCTGGGAACCGCTGAAATAGATAAGAAATTGTTATACTCGGCAAAGTTGAAAACAAATAACTATCAGCAAGCTGCCCAACTCTACCAAACTCACAGTGATACTAAATCAATAGAAAGATGCTGATTTATGAGCAGTGAAGTCATTCTCTTCGGAGACCCTGAAGTATATGGACATTGCAGTCTTCAAGCATAACCCCCTCCCAAATTCTATGCTATTTAAAAAACTTTTTAAGAGACTACCATGCTACAGTTCAAATCTGAGCAATTAAATCAAATTGTGCATTTTTACCTTAGAATCAATGGAAATCTGTTGTGTATACTGGAAATAAAGGAAACTTGTGGGGAAGATTATAGCACCTCTCTAGTCACAGCAGTCCATCAAAATACCTCTGTTTAATCAGGCCATGATGACAAGCAAAATTTAATTGAATAAATTTGAATGAAAATCACTGTGGTAGACAAAATAATGGCCCCCAAAAGATGCCCATGCCCTTAAGCCCTGGGATCTATGAATGTTACCTGACATGGCCAAGGGGAAGTAAGGTTGCAGGTGGAGTAAAGGTAGCTAATCACTAATGTTAAAATAGGTCAATGAGCTTGGTTACCCAGGTGCATCCAATGTAATCACTAGGGTCCTGAAAAGTGGAAGAGTCAGGGGGAGTTGACGTTAGAAAGACTCAGTTGGCCATTGCTGGCTTTGAAGATGGCAGAGGGCCATGAGCCATGGAAATGTGAGCAGCTTCTAGAATCTGGAAAAGTCAGGAAGACAACATTCTCCCCTGGAGTCTCCAGAAAGAAATGCAGCTCCTCCAACACTTTCATTGCAGCCTGGTGATACCTACTTTGGTCTGATAACTTGCAGAATGTAAGATAATACATTTTTGTTTAACGCATTAAGTTTGTGGTAGTTTATCAGCAGGAGTAGGAAACTAATACAACCACTAAGAGAAAATTTTTCTTAGTGTAGGAAAATTAGAATAGAGGTTATTCTCAGGAATTGCAACCTGAGCTCTTAATCTTTCTGACATTTTATACATAAGAATAGAACTTTAAACCTAGCTAATGTGTATTTTAAGAATGAATAATTGATGCACCATTATTAGCACATATCTATATTTTCTCCTATTTGAGAACAGATTTTCAAAAAGCAATATGATGATTCACATGGCACACTATGTGTGGATTTATTGACTATCCCTGTAGAACAGCACTCTAATACATCACTAAAACACAGAAAACTTATAATACAAGCAAACATTATAGCAGTATGAGAGAAATGGCTTTCTGTCACACTTAGCCTAGTCTCAGATTAGATAAAAGAGGAAAACAATAATTATTCCAAATTCAAATTGTGCCAGGATGTATCTGTAGCATATGTCCTTGAAAACAGCAAAGGGTATATAATTTGATATTAGGAAACAGGACAAGCTCTGGAATTCTCAAGAATGAAATGGAAATTGTAACTCCTACGGCACTTGATGGCCGCAAGGACCTAATTGTATATGCGTATGTATTGTACATATACAATTGTATATGTAAATAGCCTCACGCTGTGGTACATGGTAGGTGCTCACTAATTAATAGATACCAGTATTAAAAGTCAATTTCTTCTCTCCTCTTAATGGTTCTAGAGTATGGTAAATTGTAGCTGGACAGCCTTGGGTTTGGCTAGAGTAGAAAGTTACCTTCATGGTGTCTAATATTTTCTCTTCCATTCCAAATTATTGTAGTGTGTGTGTGTGTGTGTGTGTGTGTGTGTGTGATTTTGTTTTTGTTGTTTTTTCTTATTTTGTTTTACCAAGGTAGCAAAACAGTAGACATGCCACTCTTGCCTGTACCTCAGGGCCTTTGTACTTGGTGTTTCTTCAGCTGGGAATACTTTCCCTCCAGATTTCACATGATGACCTGTCTGTCACTTTATTTGGATTTCTGTCCCCACTTAATACTGTCTGATGTTATTTTTTAAATTTGGCTTCTCCAGAGAAAATGAACCAATAAGGATGTGTGTGTGTGTGTGTGTGTGTGTGTGTGTGTGTGTGCATGTGTGTGTAAAATGAGATTTATTACAAGGCATTGGCTCATGAACTCATGAAGGCTAAGTCCCACAATCTGCTGTCTACAAGCTGGAGACCCAGGAAAGCCAGTGGCTTAGTTTAGTCCTAGTCCAAAGGCCTAAAAAATAGGGGTGTGGGATGATAAGTCCCAGTCTGAGGGCAGTGGAAGGACAATGTCTGAGCTTAAGCAATCAGGCAGCGAGAGAATTCAGGCTTCCTCGACCTTTTTGTTCACTTTCAGCCCTGAATGGGTTTGAAGATGTCCGCTCACTATTGGGGAGGCCATCTGCTTTACTCGGTCTGCCAATTTAAATACAAATCTCTTTCGGAAACACCCTCACAGACACAGCCAGAAATAATGTTTAACCAGATATCTGAGCATCCTGTGGCCCAGTCAGGTTAATACATAAAATTGTCACAATTTTGTACATATTTATTTATTTATTGCCTGACTCCTTCACTTGAATGGAAACATCATGGATGCAGGGACTTTTGCTTGTTCACTGTTTGATGTCAGCACCTAGGACAGGACCTGGGACTTCGTGCATTCTCAGCAAATGAGATGAAAGAATAAATGTCTAGTCTGATGGGCTTCCCTTTGAGAGTAACCCGACCTTTCAGGCACATATACACCATGGAATACTATGCAGCCATAAAAAATGATGAGTTCATGTCCTTTGTAGGGACATGGATGAAATTGGAAATCATCATTTTCAGTAAACTATCGCAAGAACAAAAAACCAAACACCGCATATTCTCACTCATAGGTGGGAATTGAACAATGAGATCACATGGACACAGGAAGAGGAATATCACACTCTGGGGACTGTTGTGGGGTGGGGGGAGGGGGGAGGGATAGCATCGGGAGATATACCTAATGCTAGATGACGGGTTAGTGGGTGCAGCGCACCAGCATGGCACATGTATACATATGTAACTAACCTGCACAATGTGCACATGTACCCTAAAACTTAAAGTATGATTAAAAAAAAAAAAAAGAATAAATGTCGGGGCTAAAGCCTCATTTTCTTTTCTTTCTTTTTTTTTTTTTGAGACGGAGTCTCTCTCTGTCGCCCAGGCTGGAGTGCAGCGGTGTGATCTCGGCTCACTGCAACCTCCGCCTCCTGGGTTCATGCCATTCTCCTGCTTCGGCCTCCTGAGTAGCTGGGACTACAGGCGCCCGCCACCACACCCAGCTAATTTTTTGTGTTTTTAGTAGAGACAGGGTTTCACCGTGTTAGCCAGGATGGTCTCGATCTTCTGATCTCGTGATCTGCCTGCCTTGGCCTCTCAAAAGAAGTGCTCTTACAATCTATGTTAATTCATCTTGCTTTATCCCATGTTCAGAACTGAACTTTGAGTTGAGGTATGCCTAAAGCATTCTTTCTGAGCATCAGATGACTTGATATGGTTACAGCACAAATTGGCACCAAAGGACACAGCCCAGTAAGTCACAGGCTGTTGCCTTCTAACTCAGTATCATAGTTATGGAGACTTCTGTTGGGGTTTTAGGGTTAATGGAATGGAACAGATGTAGGAGAGTCTATCACCTTTGATAGTATTGCTGGATGAAAGAATGAGGTTGGAATGCTAGGTTGTGATGGTTAATTTTATGTATCAACTTGGCTGGGCCAACGGATGACCAGATAAACTAGTAGGACATTATTTTTGGGTGCATCTATGAGGGTGTTCCTGGAAGATATTAACGTTTAGGTAGACTGAGTCAAGATCACCCTCAGCAATACGTGTGGGCACCATCCAATCTGTTGAGATCCTGAAGAGAACAAAAAGATGGAGGAAGGAAAAATCTGCTCTCTCCCTGAGCTGAGACACCAGCTCCTGCTCTCACCTGCACCTTCTCCTGCCCTCAGACATTGGTGCTACTGGTTCTCCAGCTTCTGACTCAGATGGAGACTTACATCATTGACTCCCCAGGTTATGAGAGTTTTGAGTCTGGACTACAACCAGACCATCAGTTTTCCTGGGCCTGCAGCTTACAGAAAGCAGATGGTGAGACTTCTCAAACTCCATAAGCACGTGAGCCAATTTCTCATAAATATCTTACTATACATCTCTGTTGTCAACCTAAAAAAAGACACTAGAGAAAATTTATTTCTATGGTATATTGAGTTTACTCAGGGGTAAGAATCAATTATTATAACTGGAATGCATGGCATGGTAAACCACTAATGTATCTGTGAGGGAAGGGCAAAGGGAAGCTTTCATTAGCAAAAACAGAGAGTTTTATAGAAGTAGCTTAGAAATAGAATTCATTGGTTCCAGAGAGCTGTTGTCAGTTCACTGGTGGAGATGTCATTACTGGGCGAGTGTTCTGAGATATCTTATCTGAATTACTGCAGTACTAAAGAATATCTAGTGATAAACCTTGTCAAAACAGGAGATGCATGAAGGATGCAAAAAGGTTTCTTGTGGGGTTTTTAGAAAGTCCCTGAAAGCAGTTTTTATCTCCCATATGTGAGCATGAGCCATCTCTCCTTCATACTATCCTGACTTTATTTTATCCAGGTCTGACAAAAGTGATTTTATCCTGGTATCTGAAACTTCTGACTAAAACATAAGACAAATACTTCTTTCTACTTATTCGGCACGTCCTAGTTTTGGGATAGTTGGTCCGAGAAACAGCCTTGGTTTACAGAACAGACCCTCTGAAGGCAGCCAGCTTCGAGAGAGGATGCTGCCTTGCTTGCTGGCTAACAGGGAGGGTGACTAAACATGTATGAGGTGTTTCATTCATAAATCCTTAACTGCACTGAGTCAAGGTATGTCAACAGATGGATGCCAGATCCTTGTTACTGATTAATCAGAGAATTCACTCCTATTGGAGGGAAAGGGATGGCCAGTATTACACTAGGGAAGCGTCCACATGGAAAACAGGAGGACAGGGAAAGAAAGTTTGCTCTAACATCTTCTGAGTCCTTCAAAGTGCTTTTCATCTGTGATTTTTGTTTACTCCTCTTACTAAGAAGAGTAAATATTTAACGTGAGCAGGAAGTCTGAGACCCAGGGCTTTAGTGTCACATACAGTATAGGGCTCAATAGATCCATATATAAGAACAACAATGATCTCTCATGGGGAACCAATGGAAAAGTTAAAGTAACTTGCACCTATTTATGGAAAGCTCACATTAACACTCAAATGCTAATTAGAGAAAAATGTAACCAAAATGTTAACCCGAATCTATTGAAATGAAAAATAATATGTGTTACTTTCATTCCAGATTACTTAGTACATCCATGTGATTTATTTTTGGTAGGAAAGTCTTTTAAATGTCATTATATATAAGATCATTTTCAAACCCCAAATATTTACTAAATTCCATGCTCATTAATACATTTTCTAATAAGCATTCTTAACTCATTAGGATGGAATAACTGTTTTTTCTTAGATTTCAACTGGCATAGAGGACAGAAACCACTGGAACAAAACTAATGGAATTTTTTCTCCAGATCCAGGTTACCACATCTGTACCTCTGTCTTGGAGTTTGAGAAATAATCAGAACATGCTGTTTTCCTATCTCATGGAAACTCCTTTAAGCTGCAGGCTTGGCTATGGGTAGACAAAGGCATAAAGTGTTATGATGGACATTGGAGACTCAGAAGCAGGAAGGGTGGGAGAGGGATGTGGGATTTTAAAAACTACATATTGGGTATAATTAACACTACTCAGGTGACCAGGGCACTAAAATCTCAGACTTCACCCACTATACCATTCATCCATGCAGCCAAAACCCATTTGTACCCCTAAAGCTATTGAAATAATAATAATTTTAAAAAGACACAAGCTTGGGAACAGCATAATGATGGCGTTCCCCCGACCGCCTATAACACCATGACATACATTTTGATCACTTTTTAAAAAAGCATTTTAAACAATGATTAAGTCCTGCTGGGTCAATCTACTAAATAAGGCATCAGTAACAAAAAAATTCACATATAGCTGGAAAGTTTGCTGTGAACCCAATCACTCCAAATTCACAAAATGTTGAGTTTTTGTGGTAAAGCATTGGAGAAGTGTGAAGGCATTTATTTAGACAATAATTTTGTGGATCTTTATCAGGCAATTAGCCTGTATGGGCCTAATTGGGTTCTTAATGGGTTCTTATTTCCAAAGAAAAGTTTAACTTCCAGGTGCATTTCTTGACCTATAACTACCTTTTTACAAATAAAATTATCTCACTATTATGGGATGAGTTTTTTCCTACCCCAAAATTCATTTGTTGAAACCCTTACCTGCAGTACCCTAGACTATGACTGTATTTGGTGATAAGGTCTTTGAAGTGGTAATTAAGTTAAAATGAGGTCATCTGGTGAGCCTTAATCCAACTGGACTGGTGTCCTACTAAGAAAAGATTAGGATACAGACATGCTGAGAGGGAAGCCCGTGTGAAGACACAGGGAGAAGACGGCACCTGCCAGCCAAGGAGAGAGGCTTCAGGAGAAACCATCCTTGCTGAAATCATGGTCTCAGACTTCTGGCCTCCAGAATCATGTGAGAATAAATTCCTGATGTTTAAGTCACTCAGTCTCTGGTAGTTTGTTAAGGCGGCCCAACAGACTAACACAGCTACTTTAATAAAGAAGATTTTCGGCTGGGCACGGTGGCTCAAGACTGTAATCCCAGCACTTTGGGAGGCCGAGGCGGGCGGATCACGAGGTCAGGAGATCAAGACCATCCTGGCTAACACAGTGAAACCCCATCTCTACTAAAAATAGAAAAAATTAGCCAGGTGTGGTGGTGGGTGCCTGTAGTCCCAGCTACTTGGGAGGCTGAGGTAGGAGAATGGCGTGAACCCAGGAGGTGGAGGTTGCAGTGAGCCAAAGTCACGTGACTGCACTCTAGGCTGGGTGACAGAGCAAGACTCTGTCTCAAAAAAAAAAAAAAAAAAAAAAATTAGCCGGGAATGGTGGTGTGTGCCTGCAATCCCAGCTACTCAGGAGGCTGAGGCAGGGAAATCGCTTGAACCCAGGAAGCAGAGGTTGCAGTAAGCTGTGATCTCACCACTGCACTTCAGTCTGGGCTACAGAGTGAGACTCTGCCTCAACAAAGAAAAGAAAAGAAAAAGAGAAGAAAAGAAAGAAAGAAAGTGTTTCTCCTTGAGGCGTATCACACATGGATTCAGTTCCCCAACTCTTGTTAAGCTGCCACAGGGCTTTGCCTGGGCATGTCCCTGCCTGTTCCTGTCTTCTGCCCTTCTGGGCCCTCCTGCTCTACTTTGGTTATGCAGCTATGAAATTACTCCAAACATTTACATAGTTTGCTACCTGAATGATACATGTGTGAAGGTTGATTGTACAAATTGGGTTATTCTTTTTTTGTCTGTTTGTTTCTAGATGCCCTGAGATCAGTTTCTACCTTTTTCTTTTTTAAATTTTACTTTAACTTCTGGTATACATGTGCAGAATGTGCAGGTTTCTTATATGTCCCATGGTGGTTTGCTGCGCCTACCAACACATCATCTAGGTTTTAAGCCCTGCATGCATTAGGTATTTGTCCTAATGCTCTCCCTCCCTTTTTCCCTTACCCCCGGACAGGCCCTGGTGTGTGATGTTCCCCTCCCTGTGTCCATGTGTTCTCATTGTTCAACTCCCACTTATGAGTGAGAGCATGGTTTTCTGTTCCTCTGTTAGTTTGCTGAGAATGATGGCTTCCAGCTTCATCCATGTCCCTGCAAAGCACATGAACCCATTTTTTTATGGCTGCATAGTATTCCATGGTGTATTTGTGCCACATTTTCTTTATCCAGTCTATCATTGATGGGCATTTGGGTTGGTTCCAAGTCTTTGCTATTGTAAATAGTGCTGCAATAAATATACATGTGCATGTGATTCTTATCACATCCAACTAAAACAGAGTTGAGAAGCCAGGAGATAAAGCACTCATGTTACAAAATGTTGCTCCAAGAATGTAATCGCTGCAAGCCTGACTACTGGAACTGCTTTTGAGACCAGTTTTATCCATAGCTTCTGAGATAACTTGCTACAATTCTGTGACTACTTTTTCGCACCACCTTTGCTCATTATTCAGAGCTTGCCAGCTCCCCAAACCCTTCCTAGTGCCAATGAACTTACTCAAAGAGGAATACATAACATTTCTCCTTTTTATAAAACCTCTAACCTTCTCTTCGTTCTTCAGAGAGAGTGTGTTCAGGGTTGGTTCCTTCCAGTGGGTTTGTGGTCTCGCTGACTTCAAGAATGAAGCCATGGACCTTCACGGTGAGTTTTACAGCTATTAAAGGTGGCATGGACCCAAAGAGTGAGCAGCTGCAAGATTTATTGTGAAGAGCGAAAGCCCTGCCCCGTAACCCAAAACGGTCCCTGGACCCTGCTGACCAGAATAGTTGCGCTCACCGAAGCAGCAGCAGAAACACTAGTTTTCCTCCTATACCACAAAGAGGACCGAGAAATGTCAGATTTAGTGGCCCTTACCGATGCATTCTCGAAAACCTGTTAGAGTCCTAAGAGTTTTCTCCTGTTAGTATTGGGACTTTACCCCTGTCCTATAAAGATGATATGCCCCCAAAACAGAGTGGAGGGCTATACCCTGAAGGAGGGAAGGAATCTCCCAGGTTGGAAGAGTAACACATTTTGTCCTCACTTATCATATGAATAGGAAGGATATAATTTCTGAGGCTACCCATATCCTAGCTTCGGGAATCACCTTTGTTAGGCCTGCTAGTCTGAGGAGGGATCCTAAAATCCCAGATAGTCCCCCACCCCACAACAAGACTTTGGGCAAAGATTATATCTTTCTGATTGGTGAGCCTGGGTGCCTAAAGAAAGGAACAGAGTCCCAAAATTTATACTAGAAATCATTCTTATAGGAGAATCTAGAAAAGCACCAGAGACAGGGAGTGGTTTTTAGAAGCAGGACTAGCCTCGGAGAAGAGAGACAGGAGGAAGTTTGTCTGACAGGCGTTAGGACCCAGGAGACAAGGGTCAGGATAGATAGGGTAGATGGGTGAGTCTTGCTTGGGCGACATGCCTTTGAGAGTTCCTCTCATGGCTGCAGGGTCAGCCAACTTTTTGTTGGGACCCCGGAGCTGAATGGCTTTCCTCTCTATCGACCCTCAGCTCAGCCCAGAAGTACAGGGAAAGCGGAAGCTGGTTCCAGGCAAACCAATGCTCCCAGCTCTGAAGAGTCAGAGATTGTTAGAGAGCCCTTTCCCAGAAAGCCTGACACCTGTGTCTTTAGTCTGGTGGCTGTGCTAGTCGCTTTTAACTGGCCAACAGGTGCCTGGTGTTTAGCCCCCAAATTGTAAGGAAACATAGGACAGAATAGCAAGCAAAAGGGTTCCAGTGGTACTCACTACTTGGCGATAGTCCCTTCGTGGTCTCCAAGATGTGTCCGGAGTTGGTTCCTTCTGGTGGGTTCGTCATTTCGCTGACTTCAAGAATGAAGGTGCGGACCTTCCTGGTGAGTGTTAGTTTTTTTTTTTTTTTTTTTTTTTTGAGATGGAGTCTTGCTCTGTTGCCCAAGCTGGAGTGCAGTGGCGTGATCTGGCGTGATCTCGGCTCACTGCAAGCTCTACCTCCCAGGTTCACACCATTCTCCTGCTCAGCCTCCCAAGTAGCTGGGACTACAGGTGCCCACCACCACATCTGGCTAATTTTTTGTATTTTTGGTAGAGATGGGGTTTCACAGTGTTAGCCAGGATGGTCTCAATCTCCTGACGTCGTGATCCGCCTGCCTCAGCCTCCCAAAGTGGTGGGATTACAGGCATGAGCCACTGTGCCCAGCCTAGTGTTACAGCTCTTAAAGATGGCACGGACCCAAAGAATGAGCAGCAGCAAGATTTACTGTGAAAAGCGAAAGACCAAAGCTTCCACAGTGTGGATGGGGACCTAATCAGGTTGCCACTGCTGGCTAGGGTGACCAGCTTTTATTCTCTTATTTGTCCCCGCCCATGTCCTGTTGATTGGCCCATTTTACAGAGCACTGATTGGTCCATTTTACAGAGCACAGATTGGTCCATTTTACAGTGTGCTGATTGGTCCATTTTAGACACCTCTAGCTAGCCACAGAGCGCTGATTGGTGCGTTTTACAATCCTAGCTACAGAGCACTGATTGGTGCGTTTTACAATCCTCTTGTAAGACAGAAAAGTTCTCCAAGTCCCCACGCAACCCAGGAAGTCCAGCTGGCTTCACCTCTCAAGAGCTCTGTTGGTTCTCACCAGAGATGATCTCTCCCTGGTTTGCAAACTGATATTGCTGATAAAACTCTTTTTTCTACTCTCAAGCCATTCTGGTGGTCCTTTGGACAACATATGCCTTGCTTTAGTAAGGACTGGGAGTGTATTTTCCCCTCCCTTGGAGAACAAGGTGTCTTATCAGACCCCATACATGAGAACTTGGAGCTACTTCTCCTCCCCTCGGGAATGTGACATCACAGCTTATCAGACCCGGTATGAGTTACTGAGCTTGACTACTGGACTTCAAGTCTAATAAACCTAAGAGTTTGACAGACACTTTAAGAGCTTAGGTCATGGCAGGGTTTCCTCTGTCAGCCATTCTCCAATGACCAGGAGCTTGTGCTGTGACAGGGCTGCACTGTCCACCACTTCTCCCCAACTTCCCTCTAGTATCCAGGGACCACCCCAGCCTTCTCTAGTCTCCACTGTGATGGCCAACCCAGTTTCCCTCAAGAACTGCTAGTATAAAGGAACACCTCCAGCTTTAATTAGAAGTTACTTCCCACAGAGACTTTCATCCTAATGGAGCAACTAGACTTTAATAATTGAGGACCTCACTCATCTGTGGTCAGTGTGCCTCATCTCTCGAGTGGATTCCCTGGGAGATTTGTTCACACTGTTATCTTCTTTTAGTGTTCTGAACCTAAGAAAAAAATTCTCTTTGCATGTGGATAAACCACAGATCCATGAAATCATACTTCGACCATCTCCTTGTTTTAACCATGCAAAAACACCTTTGTGGTTCCTTCCTCTACTGGCTTAACCCTTGGCTTTCTTCTGTTTTTCAACAAGTGGAGGCTCAGAAGCCCCCAAGCAGGTTTACCAAGGTGCCCATGGGCCACCACATGCCCAGCCTCACTGTGCCCTGCCCCACGGCTGCGCCTCCTCTGCTTCGCCCAGCACCTGGAACATCCCTCCTTCTGAACAGTGCCAAGTATGCGTCTGTGCTGCTGCCCCGCCCGCTGCCCCTAAGGGCTCCTATAAGGCACGTGCATCCCTCTGCCCTGGCGCTAGGCACTGCCTTGCATCAAACCCCATATTGTTTTCTCTCCCTCTAGAGAGTTAGCTTTCAGGGAGGACAGAAGGATGCAAAGGTAAAAATATTGTTGTTTGCTGTGAAGTTTACAAAAAACACAATTGTACCAAAACAGAGACAAAAAGGTGGGCTGGATTGTTTTCCAAGGATGCTTTCATTTTTAACGCCAGTGTTTCACTCTTAAATGCACTGCTAGTTTATCACAGTTCAACATACACTTTATAAAACTGGTTTTTTGTCATTGAACTTTTTTTGAAAAATGTATGATGACCACAGATGTCCTTTTGCTGGAGGCTCTCTCTAGGGTCTTACTTCATGTTTCTTTGTAGATAATGATAGTACAGTATGGTTATTTCTCATGGGTTGTGAGGAGACTAAATGATTAAATATATGTAAAGTGCCTGGGACAAAATTTGACACCTTCGTGCCCTAAATAAAAGCTTATTAAATAAATACATAGATTTGGAATTATTGGCTGGATTATATGTAATTATTCCTGACCCAGAATGTCTTAAGAAATATAGTCTCTGGACCTGTCTTTAGCAATCACTGCCACTCACCACTCATCCCCTTTGCCCGCCTCATTTTAGTTACTAATGGGTGCAGCTGGGTTTGGGGATCAGGGAAGACAGTTGACATGGACTCGTACCAATACCTGGACTCTTTACACACCAAATCCTGGGGGCCAGGCACTGTTCTAGGTGCCAGACATTTAATTCACATCACAGACGTGCCATGTAAATACAACTATTTTCCCTACTTTGCGACAAGGAAATTTAGACCCAGGCAGGTTAAATAACTTTCCCAAGTTATTCCCCTACCACCGCCCACCCCTAACCAACCCCAGCTCAAACCTAGGCTGTCAGGGTTTGTGTTATTAACTATGTGCTAGAATCCAAGAAACCCAGGGCTCCTGCTTGTGTCAACAGCCTGGGAGCACAGTGACATGAGCTCGGAACCAGGAATCATCATCAAGTCTGTGTTCCCTTTTCCCAGGCATCCGACACATGGTCAGTTGGGCCAGAGATGGGAGAGGAACTTCTAGAGTCACTTAGCAGAACGGAGGCTGGAGACAGGTTGGCCCTGACATCACAGGGGCTGTTCTCTCCTACTCGTGCCTCCCTCCTGGGAAAATTGTGGGGGACAGTCATGGTGACAGTACCTGGGACCTGAGTCAAGCATCCTATGTGGAGGTCTGAGTTTCCTTTGACAGAGTGTCCTGGCATCCTTCGTCTGTGATCACTGGGACACAGTCCCACTATTTTTTCCCATGGATACTGCTGCTGTGCAAACTCCATGTATAGGGTGTCACAAAGCTTACTCTGTTGTAAATACAGCTGGGTGATAGAGAATTTCATTAGTTTGTTTCTAAAGAAATACTAGAAAACAGATTGAATTAGAAAAAATTGGAAGTGGAAAGAGGATTTTTCTAGAGTTGACATTTTTACAGGAATCTAAGCATTGGTATCTAGGGGGGAGGAAGCCCAGAGTAATAATTTATTTAACTGTTGCAAATTGGAATGATGCTAATTAGATTTCATGTGTTGCTCATGATGTTTATTGCTGAAACATCCATTACCCTGCTGATTCTGGCAGTGAAATAAACATTAGAATTTTTCAACAGCTGTAGTGTAAAATTTTAGAAATTGGACTATGAGTAGCACAATTGGGGTTTACTGTTTTGGATTACCAAAGTGTTTAGCCTTTGCCTTTCAGGGTGATTGTGTGGAAGCGGACACTGCGTGGGTGGAAGTCAAGGCAGACGCTTCCCTGTGGCGCTGGAACAAGGCGGCTGCTCTGCAGGGGGCTGTGAGCATCCCTCGTCGTGAAGCCATGGGTGGCTATTAGGTAATGCAGCAGCTGTTGCAAATAAGAGCCAGGGTGTCCTGGTGACTGCCGCACCTTGCCCCTTGTAGGAAATGCTGCTGCCTCTGAGCAGGGCTCAGGGGCTGTGAGCAGTGATCGGCAGCAGCGGGGCTGTGCGGCCTGAGCTCCTGATTCCTCGGACCCACGTGCACACCTGGAGAACGGCGCACGCTTCACCTCCTGAGCACCAAGGCCCCTCCTTCGTGAGACTTACCCCATTCGTGTGAGCCCCGGGAAGAAGGAGGCATTTTCAGATGTTTTTAGAGAGAGGGCTCCTGGAGCGCTAATCAGAGCCGTCTATGTTTGAGGATGTTGTTACGGATGCACTCATTTTTCAGGATGAAAGTCCACGCTTTGCTCACACAGCAGTCCCTGATGGTTCTCCCTCTGTTCAGGGCCTTCATTACCATGTCTGGCACGACCTTGATGCAAATGAAACATTTCCAAGAACAAGGAGCTATAACAGAAACTCAGATGTTGCATTTATAATGATTCCCACTTCGGCTTTTTGACTTTAGAGTGCAAGGAAAAATGTGCAATTTCTTACTTGGGCAAAAACAAAACAAAATAAACAACTAATGCAAATCCATACCAGAGTCTGTTACTGTGAGGTAGAGGGCTCTTAAAGGAAACAATCTAACTCTAAAACTGGAACAAACCAGAGCAGCTGCCCTGAAGAATCAAGGTGGTTTCCACCCAAGCTCCACCTGACGCTTGTGAATGGAGAAGCCAACACCCCTGAGCACAGACCTGCTCTCAGGGAGGGATTTTACCTTCATCTGCACAAAGCACCCTGCCCCTGCATAGATCCATGGGGGCTCATTGGCACTAAATAGAAAAATAGATCCCTTCTGCCTCGTTCTGGTTCACACCCATGTAGCCACAGAGCTGGCAAGAAGAATAAAATAAAGTTTTAATCTATTCCATTCTCAATCTTACTGCATTTACATTTATTAATCAACTCCATTACTAAGTATACACTCCAACGTTTGCAAAATTCTGACTACATTATCTACTCTACAATGTCCAGAAGTTAGTTCATTAAAATCTGAATTTAAATTCTATGTCCATTTAGAAACTATTTGTATTGTATTCTTCTGTAATTGGTTAAGCTTCATGAGTATAAACGCAGGAATATGGATTTTTCAATGAACGTTAAATAATCTTGTTGATTAAATTAAAGTCAAAGTAATGTTTGCTTAGAAATTAAAGGATTATATTTCATTAGTATTTAATTTACTTAGTTTTAATTCCTGGCTTGTCATGAAGATGGCAAAAGCTGATGTGTTCCCTTGTTTCCTATACTATACTATGGAACATGGAATATGTGTGTGTGGGGGGGTGTTTGTGTGTGTGTGCACACAAACACAAGATACGTATACACATTTAAGTTTAAAAACAATTCCCTTGGATAAATACTAGGTATTCAAAGAAAACTCATTTAAAGTTTAGGCAAATCTAAGTGTACTGGATTTTTATTGCGCTTTGCTGAGTATAGTCTAGCTGTTGACTGTATACTGTTTTGTTGTGTCTGCAACAGTTTCATTTGCATACACTTCAGTAGTTAGTTTCCTAGACAAGTAATCTCCAGATAAGTGCATCACGACCCCTCTCTCCAAAAACATCTGAAAATGCCTCATTCTTCACAGAGCCTACTAATTGTCACTTTAAATTGGAGAAGGGGGCTGAACATTGATTACACTATGGTGAGAAGGGTCAGGTCTGCCAAATGTGGGTCTCAAGGAAGTAACCTGCACATTTTCAAAAACAGCCTTCAGGAATGGCAGGCTTTGCGTGCTGGTGCACTGAATACATGGCTGGGTCCCTAAGCTGAAAGTGCCGAGGCTGCCTGGGTGGAACGCTCAGCTCTGCCACTTCTGAGTTCAGAAAATTAGGAAAATTATTTCATCTCACTTGGCTTCAGTTTTGTCATTTTAAAATTCTGAATAATGACAGCAGAACCCAATTTCTAGATTTAAAAGGCATAATTTATATAAGGTGCTATGAAATGAGTCAGCCCATAATCAGAGTTGGCTAGTTCTAACACTTACTACAATTATTACATCAACTCTCTTTCTGTGTGGTCCTGAGAGGTCACTTGTCCTGGGAGTGTGAGTTTCTTCATCTGTAGAACAGGGAGGTTGATTAGCCAATCTTAGGATTTTATGATCCTCTTCCTGTTAGACAATTGTCTGGAAATAGGGTCCTGTCCCTCCTCCTCCACACTCTCCCATGCTGTGTGCAGGCAGATGTGACCCCTAGCTGCATGAGGGCAGGCCTGGCCCCATGGCAGCATTATCCGCTTTGCCGGGGAAAGGAGGACATCACAGATGATCCCAAGCTGTGTCCTGAAGAAACACAAAACTAAAGATTTTGCATGTGCATCTAGGAGGAAGTTTCACACTGGAATCAATTCCTTGTTCCTGAGATTCCCTTCCTCATGCATCTTTTTCTGTGGGGGTAGATGATATGGTTTGGCTTCGTCCCACCCAAATCTTATCTTGAATTCCCACATGTTGCGGGAGGCACACAGTGGGAGGTAATTGAATCATGGGGGCAGGTCTTTTCCATGCTGTTCTTGTGATTGTGAAAAAGTTTCATGAGATCTGATGACTTTATAAGGAGGATTTTCCCTCCATAAACTCTCTCTCTCTCTGCCTGCTGCCATCCATGTAAGACATGACTTGCTCCTCCTTGCCTTCCACCCTGATTGTAAGGCCTCCTCAGCCACTTGTAACTATAAGTCCATTAAACCTCTTTCTTTTGTAAATTGCCCAGTCTCAGGTATGTCTTTATTAGCAGTGTGAAAATGGACTAATACAGTAGAGAATTAGTGAGAAACTCAACTGAGAAAAAAAAACCTACAGAGAAGCAGAATCCAGAGTTATTCACACAAGGCCCAGGACATGGGGCATGTGTGGCATTCTCCTGGCTGCTCTTGCTCATAGGTAGAGGTGGATGGAAACTCCACGCACATCACCCACCCCATCTCCTGCCACCTGTCCCTAAAGCCTCCCTTGCCCTCTCCCTCCCCGCCCCTCCCCATAGGCAGTGCTTTCCCAGGCTCTCTGGCAGCCCTGCTCACTTCCTCAGTGGCTGGTCTGCCAGTCATCAGCTGAGAGCAGACCCTCCATTCACCTGGTTTCCTGTACTATGCTGTACCATGGAACATGCAATATATGTGTGTGTGTGTGTTTGTGTGTGTGTATGCACAAATATCAGATACCCCACACAGTTCAATTTAAAGAAGATTATTTCTTTTGATAAATACTACACATTAAAAGAAAACTCATATAAAGGGTATTCAAATTTAGGTTCACTAGATTAATTGTTATTTACCAGGTTAATTAGCTATTATAGCCTGGAACCACACAAAGGGGTCAGCATCCTGCTCCCCAACCTTCCAAGCAGGTGTGAAGGGATCCGTGGGGAGATTCCTGCCAGGTTTCCTAACTGGTGAGGTGGGGGTGGGGCGAGGGGCAGAGAACGGCTTCCCAACAGACAGCCAGGCACCTGGGGGACCGCCAGGTGGGAGTCTGTGCTCACAAAGAAGACATTCCAGGTTGGCCTCAGCAACACTCATAGCTCCCTCCCCGCAGCCTACACACCCTCGCTCAGGACACCTGGATGTTGTAGGATTCTCTCACCAGCCACCAGCCAGGGCCTTTGTAGCTGCTTCGGGTGCTCCCGAAGCACCTACACGCTCCCACCCTGCTACAGACGCCTGCGGTTAGAAAGCCCTGGGCATCTGTTCAGCAGAGGGTCCTGCCAGGCTCCCCTCATTCAGAGGGGACAGAATTCTCCTCCTGAAAGACTTTCTTTTTTTTTCCTTTTTGGGAGGGAGTCTCCCTCTGTCTCCCAGGCTGGAGTGCAGTGGCGCGATCTCGGCTCACTGCAAGCTCCGCCTCCCGGGTTCAGGCCATTCTCCTGCCTCAGCCTCCTGAGTAGCTGGGACTACAGGTGCCCGCCACCACGCCTGGCTAATTTTTTGTAATTTTTAGTAGAGACGGGGTTTCACCATGTTAGCCAGGATGGTCTCGATCTCCTGATCTCGTGATCCGCTCGCCTCGGCCTCCCAAAGTGCTGGGATTACAGGTGTGAGCCACCGTGCCCAGCCGACAGATTTTGTTTCTATCATCATGTGGGGAGCGAACATGGATCTCTTCCTGCCTGAAGTGGGCACGACGATATTGACCCTTTGTGGGATTCCAGGCCTTTCAGCGACTCCTGAACCCAGAGGAAGGAAGCCAGGGAAAGGAATGCTATGGGGAGAGGGTGGAGAAGGCAGAGAGCAAAGGCAGGCTGTAGGGACAGGTGGTCAGGTGAAAGCCCAAACCATGCAGCGGTGAGTGGACGTCAGGGACTAGAAATAGTGCTCTCAGGGTTCACTGTGCCATGGGGAGGTGTGTATTTCACCATAGCCTGTGCCCGAGAGGCTACAGAGCGGGTCCGTTCAGCTGTCCTTGTACCCACATGGGACCCCCACCGCTGCAACACCAGAGGCCCGGGGCCTGCCCTCCTTGTTTGGAGGTTTTGATTTCCCCAGGATCTTGGTGAGTTTTCTTGGGCCACAGTTAATACCCTCAGAACTCTTGTCCTCACCTTCTCTCCAGCAGTTTCGTCGGACTGACAACGGTGAGTGCCTTAGGATGCAGCTCAGAACCCCTTCCCCGCGGGAGGATCTGAGCGCCTCCAGCCTTCGCTCACTGCCTCTATAGCCCTGAACTCCACTTTTATCTCCCCAGACCTAGGAAACTGTCAACAGTTTCTAAGCATTCTGCTCGGTCTCTCTGACCTTCAATACTGAACAAGCAGCAAATACGTGCAGGGAGAACGCTGACCCAATTCAACGCATTTCCCTTCTCCCTGGATTCTTGGCCCTTCCATTCCTGGCCTTTGTGATCACTCTCTGACACCGGCAAGTAGCTGCTTTTTGTTTTTTATCTGGCATTTATATTTATTTTTCGTGGTGGTGGTGAGGGGGCTTCTTGGTGCAATAAAGATGTTTCTGACCTCTGAAAACTGCACAAGAATGTGAAGAGCTGCGGGTCTAACTTCTCACCAAGCAGCTGCAGGACTCCTGTTATCTCTAATAGGGGACGTTTGACACTCACAGGAAGAATTAACTCATTCTTACAGACCGAGCCTGATTTTTTAAAAATCAGTTTTTAGGCCGGGCATGGTGGCTCACGCCTGTAATCCCAGCACTTTGGGAGGCCGAGGCGAGCGAATCACGAGGTCAGGAAATCGAGACCATCCTGGCTAACACGATGAAATCCCGTCTCTACTAAAAATACCAAAAAAATTAGCCAGGCGTGGTGGCGGGCGCCTGTAGTCCCAGCTACTTGGGAGGCTGAGGCAGGAGAATGGCGTGAACCCAGGAGGCGGAGCTTGCAGTGAGCTGAGATTGCACCACTGCACTCCAGCCTGGGCGACAGATCCAGACACCGTCTCAAAAAAATAAAATAAAATAAAATAAATAAAAAATAATAATAGTAATAATAATAATAATAATAAATAAAAATCAGTTTTTAAAAAATCAAAGTAAAATTTACCCAACATAAAATTAACCATTTTAACATGTACAGTTCAGTGGCATTTACTACATTCATGGTGCTGGGCAACCATTACCTCTATTTAGTTCCAAAACATGGTTATCAGCTTACAAGGAAACTCCATACACATAAAGCCATCGCTCCCTTTGCCTCTTCCTCAGCCTTGGGAAACCACTAGCCTGCCCCTTGTCTCTATGCATTTACCTATTCTGCATATTTCATGTAAAGGGGCCATACAGTACCTGGCTTTTTCATAAAACATCATGTTTCTGAGGTTCATCTACATTGTATCAGTACTTCATTCTTTTGTTTTTATTTATTTATTATTATTATTATTATTATTATTATTTTGGAGACAGAGTCTTACTTTGTTGCCCAGGCTGGAGTGCAGTGGCGTGATCTCAGCTCACTGCAACTTCCACCTCCCAGGTTCAAGCGATCCTCCTGCCTCAGCCTCCCTAGTAGCTGGGAATACAGGTACACACCACTGCGCCCAGCTAATTTTTTTTTGTATTTTTGGTACAGACGACGTATGGCCATGTTGGCCTGGCTGGTCTGGAACGCCTGACCTTAGGTGGTCCAGCCACCTCGGCTTCCCAATGTGCTGGGAATACAGGTGTGAGCCACTGCACCTGGCCCAACACTTCATTCTTTTTAAATGACTGAAGAATATTTCATTTTGCCAATGTACCACACTTTGTTCACTTATTCATCAGTGGATAAGTTTGGGTTGTTTCCACCTTTTGGCTATTGTGAATAGTATAATCAGTATAACTTTTACATCCACATGTATAACGATTATATGTTAGGTGAATGTCAGTCTCTGATACAAACAACTGGAGCTTATTTTCATGCACAACCCATTCTTATTACAAAAGTTCTTGAGAGGGCTGAGCGCGGTGGCTCACGCCTGTAATCCCAGCACTTTGGGAGGCTGAGGCAGGCAGATCACTTGAGGTCAGGAGATCGAGACCAGTCTGGCCAACATGATAAAACCCCATTTCTACTAAAAATAGAAAAAATTAGCTAGGCATGGTGGTGGGTGCCTGTAATCCAAACTACTCCAGAGATGGAGGCAGGATAATTGCTTGAACCTAGGAAGCAGCGGTTGCAGTGAGCCAAGATCGTGCCACTGCTCTCCAGCCTGGGTGACAGAGCGAGACTTTGTCTCAAAAAAATAAACAAAACAAACAAAAACAACAAAAAACTACAAAGTTCTGGATGGTGTATCCACATCGCTCAGGGAGGGACAGGACTTTGTCTTCTCTCTGATGCACTCTGGGCCCCAAAAGCAGCAGAGAGGGTGACGCTGGGTCTGAGGCCCAGGTCCAGATCCCACCCTCCCTGCAGCTCATGAAAACAGGGAGTCAGCCATCACACCCTCCAGCCCTGTGTGTGCCTCGTTCCTATGGACATCCTAGAAGCTCAGCCCTGTGACATTGAAGAAAGTCCTCAGACTGCACAGTGGGTTGGTGCTCAGCACCCTTTATTTATCACTGGAGATAGGCAATTACATTTCTGCTTGTGGGAAAAAACGAATGACAGCAGGACTGGGGGCCTACAAATGCTTGAGGAAGTAAACCCTCTCTGTCCACAAAGGCTTCACTGTACTTTTCTAGCCTTTCTATTCAATTCTTCACCTTAGGAATTTGAAAATGTAATAGTCTATCTCATGGTAATTTCTGAAACAGTTGTCTTCATCTTTTAGAGATAAATATGCAGGATCATGATCAAAACATCTCCTGAGGCCTCCTTGGTGCCATGCATTATACTGATGACATGGAATAATCCATTTAATCCTCACCACAGCCCTGTGCGGGAGGTCCTGTTTTGATTCTGATTTACAGGTGAGAACACTGAGGCACTGAAAGACAGACACAGAGGGAGCCGGGCTAGTACGCAGCAGAGCTGGACTTAAACGCAGACTGCCTGGCTCCTGGTTCCCTGCTTGCAACTGTTAGCAGCCATCTGCTCATGTGGCTATCAAAAATGAGTTCTCAAACAATATTTGGCATCCAATTTCCAATCCCCATTTTATAATTTTGCATGAAAAAAATTTATGTTACTATGATGAATTACTGAGATGAAGTTCTGATGCACTTTGTTCATGTTTAATTGCTTTGGAAACTGACTTTTTAAGCACCTGGAAGGAATCAGTGTCAAGTTAGTTTTGAAATGAACAGATACTGCCTCTTCTGATGAATCAGGAATAATCACCAGGTAGGAGTGTAATCTCACTGCAACTTGTTTGAGTGGTTCACGGACTTTACATCCTAATTTGGATCCTAATTTGCATCCTACCTTTAAAGTTCTGGAATGTCAATGGACAGCTGCATGAATAATTTTGTTTACAAATTAAGATGCAAATATTGGAAGAGAGAATAAAGCTATTCTGGAGTATATGTCAGGAGTGGGCACTGTTTTCTCAACTGTAAATTTTCACCACTTTCTTTTTAATTTGCTGTTCGATTTGTTTTACAGTTTTCTTGTCTTTCTTCATAGACTTGATGGGTTAAAATAATAAAATAATAAAAAACATTAGCATCTGAGAAACTAGAATTTTAATTGTGTGATTCTTTAGGATGGTGTCTCAAACAGCTTTTCTTACAGTTTTAAGTTTGGTCTACATAATAGAAGTATTTTAAAACATCAAGCAAGTCATAGTTGTTTTGGCTTACTGCTTATTCAATTAAAAAGAAATAGAAAGACTAACAGTGCTTATTGGTTTCCAAACCACCAACCCCCATTTAAAAAAATATCAATCTTCATATTTCCCTGAGTCAATTTTTTCTTTTAACCATTAGTATGAGCTAATCCTTATTCAGCATAAAACTAGGCATTATGTTAAGAACTTGCATTTCATAGTCACCACAAAATGGCCTAAAATTAGTATTTATTCCATTTTGTAAATGAGCAACCTGAGGTGTAAAAAGATGCAATAACCTGCCCAAGGTCCTTCAGCTAGCGCATTTTAGACCTGGGATTTTACACTGGGTTGCCAGAACTAGAGGCCTAGCGACCTTCCAAGCCCATCTCCTTACCTCCCGGGCCTCAGTTTGGCTATTCCTTGTCTTTAGAACAAATAAGAGCATTCTATAACTAAATAATTAGCAAAACAAGTCTTTTTCTTGGAAAATGCCTTTTAACCTACTATTAATCCACTTGTTAAATTTTTACTACATTCAAGGCAAAGAAGTGTAAAATATAATCCCTGCCCTCAAGGAGCTTACAGGGATTGCAATGAGAAGTTGTAACATAATGGGAAAACTATGTCAAATGGTAGTTCGAACACTGCAACACAGTTCTGATGCTTACCACCTGGAGTTAGCTACAGGTGCCACAGATTTAAGGGACTGACCTTCCTTCAGACACCAGCCATACTTCTGGTGTCCCCAGTCCTCTTGCACTGCTGAACAACTGGCTAGAAATGTGGGCATCACCATGACCCTTTCGAGTTTGATAATTTGCTAGAACAACTCAAAGGACTCAGGAAATACTTATGCTTAGTTTTATTATAAGTAATAAAAATTGGGACCTGCCAAGGAAGAAACACATCTGGCAAAGTCTGGGAGGGTCCACACACAGAGACTCCATGCCCCTCCGTGCGGAATCTGAACCTGTCATCCTCTCAGGATATCCACATGTTTACCAGCCAGGAAGCTTCCCTGAGCTTCGGCGCCCCCAGTTGTTACTGAGACTGTGTCACAAAGGCAGGATTGACTTAATCATTGGCCACATATTTTAACTGAATCTCTAGCCCCACCCCTCAGAGATTGGAGGTCAAACTTAACATCTGGTGTCTCAAAGCCCGACTCTCCAATCACTTGGCTGCTCTTTTTGGCACAGCTTACCTTTTTCTTAAGCACAAATTCAGGTGTGATCCGAGGAGCACATGAATAACAATGACACTCCTATTACTCAGGAATTCCCAAGAGTTTGAGAGTCTTCCAGGGGCCAGGGACAAAGGCCAGTCTAATTCTTCATTACACAACAGGCGACCCTGTGGCTTTTGACTATGGTTCTTTTATATGTCTAAAATGTGGAGGAGCTACTGTAGAGTACGAATAAAAAGCTTTTAACTCAATTTCCCAGTATATTTGACTGTCATTACCAGTATTATAATTTTACCGATTATGCCAGTGTTTGACCATATTTCAATATGGTAAAATAATCTGAAAAATAAGAGTAACAAATATTGACATATTACTAGAATCTCATTCAGTCATTAATAATTAGTACAGCCCATCATCATATGGTGTAACCAAAATGTCTCCCAGGGTGACATCACTCACGTTCGCAGCTTCTGTTCAATTCTCTCAAGTTCCACAAGCAGGAGTGCTTTCAGCAATATATGGCTTCACTCTTTCCAGCATCTGGAATCGCTGAGCTAAGAGACAATATCATCTCTTGCCTTCAGCCCCTCTTAAAGTATTAATATAATATTGAATTTTCCTCATTGTGTAACCCAGACATTCATTGTTATAATCTACTAGTGTTTCTTCTTCTCACCAGTTATGAGTTTCTAAGCTTTTCCACATTTAGAAAGCACATTAGGTTCAGCCATTGTGCTGGTCTAGATTCCTGGCAGCAATACAAGTTTAGCGAGTGCCTTCCACTCAGTGGACTCCCATTCATATAGGATGAGGTACAGAACTAGGGGGCGTGTCAACCACTAAGCAATACATCTGCATTTCCTGTCAACCTCAGTCTTGCCAGATGGGGTAAAGACACAATCTACCCCATCTGGTCCTTAGGAAGCACAGTTACAGCTTTTACTTAGGAATTATCCCTCCTTCTGGTATTTTGCAGCCCTGGGCCCGAGACCACCATAGCAGGTAGGTAAAAGAAATTTGAGGTGATGTGGGGAAGAAAGAAAGCTGTAATCACAACTCCTTTGTAAGAAGAATTGTATACTCATCACAACATTTGCCCTACCTCTTCCTTAGGACCCTCAGAAAAGTGGAGGAATCTATCTAGTGGGACCACCCGCTTGGCGCCCTCATTTTGAATGTGAGCACACACTCAAGAAAACATATAAGGCGGCCCTTCATGCCTATTTTTATCCCTATTTTAGATGACCAAATTTTTTATTTTATTTTATTTTACTTTTTTTTGAGATGGAGTTTTGTTCTTGTTACCCAGGCTGGAGTGCAACGGCACGATCTTGGCTCACTGCAACATCTGCCTCCCAGGTTCAAGCGATTCTCCTGCCTCAGCCTCCGGAGTAGCTGGGATTACAAGCATGTGCCACCACACCTAGCTAATTTTTTTTTTTTTTTTTTTTGAGATAGAGTCTCACTCTGTTGCCCAGGCTGAAGTGCAGAGTGGCTCGATCTCGGCTCACTGCAAGCTCCACCTCCCGGGTTCATACCATTCTCCTGCCTCAATGTCCGGAGTAGCTGGGACTTCAGGTGCCCGCCACCACGCCTGGCTAATTTTTTTGTATTTTTGGTAGAGACGGGGTTTCACTGTGTTAGCCAGGATGGTTTCGATCTCTTGACCTCGTGATCCGCCCACCTCTGCCTCCCAAAATGCTGGGATTACAGGCTTGAGCCACCGTGCCCAGCCCTAATTTTGTATTTTTCGTAGAGACGGGGTTTCTCCATGTTGGTCAGGCTGGTCTCGAACTCCCGACCTCAGGTGATCCGCCTGCTTTGGCCTCCCAAAGTACCAGGATTATAGGCATGAGCCACCGCACCCAGCCGATGACCAATGTTTTAATTGTCCATTTCAATTCTCTATCAAACCATTACTGTTAGGACAAAAGTGTTTCCTGAACTAAGAAAATATGACTTGTTCATTCAAATTGGTGCAGAATAATCTGTTCCGTTGTCTCTGATCATTTGCATCTGTTTCTGGGTAAGCAAAGCCAAGTCTCGAGCAAGTGTCTAGTCCTGTCTATACCCCTTCGTCCACCCCCCAGGACTAATGTCATCCATTCGGCTTACAGGGCCTTCCTCCCAGCTTCTCTGCTCCATAGCCATCTATAGTCTGTGTCTCTCTTGTTAACAAAAAGAAGAATCTTTACGAGCATTTTGTGCCTCAGAAGGTACAAAGGAATAAATGTAATTCAGCCCATCTCTGGGCTGCTGCAGCCTCACAATATTCACTCATTACGTGAACCCAGTGGCCATCTCAAGCGAGCACACCAGGATATCCTCTTGCTGGCTCCAAGTACCTCCTAATCCTAGAAGGGGGGTTTCTGATAGGCATTGGCATGTCCCACTTCAATGCACCCCTCAAATTCCTGTAATCATTTCCACAAGGCAAGCCCTCCATAGGCCAGTTTTCCATTGCCCTCTGCATAACCCCCAGGTGGTCCCAAAGTCCATCCTAGGGGAAAAAGAGTCGCTCTGCCTGTGAACACGCTGGATAAATTTACATTGACCTGTGCTATGATCTGGATGTCCCTTGAAGTTCATATGTTGACATTTAATCCCCATTGTGGTGGTATTAAGAGGTGGGACCTTTTAGAAAGTGGCTAAGTCATGAGAGCTTTGTCCTCAAGAATGGACTAGCATCTTATAAAAGGGCTGGGTGTCTAGGCACAGTGGCTCACACCTGTAATCCCAGCACTTTAGGAGGCCGAGGCGGGCGGATCACAAGGTCAGGGGATGGAGACCAACCTGGCTAACACAGTGAAACCCTGTCTCTACAAAAATACAAAAAAATTAGCCAGGCATGGTGGTGGGTGCCTGTAGTCCCAGCTACTTGGGAGGCTGAGGCAGGAGAATGGTGTGAACCCAGGAGGCGAAGCTTGCAGTGAGCCAAAATCATGTCACTGCACTCCGGCCTGGGCAACAGAGTGAGACTCAAAAACAAAACAGAACAAAAAGGACTGGGGGGATCTAGCTGAGGCCTTTGGTCTTTCACCTTCTGCCATGTGTGGACACCTAGATGCCACCAACTATGAGGAATGGGTCCTCACCAGGCACAAACTCCACTAGCCTTGATCTTAGACTTCCTGGTCCACAGAACTGTGAAAAATCATTTCCACGAGGCAAAGCCGCAAAGGCCCGTTCTGTTCTTTATAAATTACCCAGTCTCAGGTAGTTTGTTATAGCAGCAGAAAGGGACTAAAACACCCTGGTAGCATGTCCCCATAAACAAATTCCATTTGACTACGAAAATTTTCTGTTTATTGTCCTTCCTATTAAAGCCTTTCTTCACTATCACTCAAGCCATGATCATATTTTAGGTTTCAAGATTAATTTGTGTCCTTCAGTTATAGAGTCCATTTCAATTAAAGTCTGATCACAAGCTAGTAATTGCCACTCAAACGGCAAGGGGTTCAGCTATGGGACTCTGGCCCCTCCATAAACTTTATCTTGATTAATCTGCCTGACCATTGTCCAGGTGATTCCAGGCTGGGTTCCTCATTGGAATCTTTGTTTTCTGGCCTTTAAAATTACTCCAAACTGACACAAATAGACTTGTGTAGGGCCCTGTAATGGGGAAACCGGCCAAAGGGGGATCAGCAATGGTTCCTGTTGGTCCCTGCAACCTTCCATAGCACTGCATTCAGACCTTTGTTTCAACACCATTAACGTTTACTTTATTTATTCAATTTGTTAATAGTCATCTAAAGTTTTCCACCCTGCTAAAATGAATCTCTTGATTCTCTTCTCTCTCCATTTTCTTGTTAATTATGTTTTGTTGTTGTTGTGTGTATCTCTAAGACACATAAGGGGAAGCAGAGATAGCAAATCCATAGGGCTCTTTGGACTGTTGCTTGATTTTGCAGCAGTAAAGCTACACTGAGTGATTATACAAAGGGGGCCCCTTAACCATAGCATTAACCATGCCCTGCATAAGGGAAACAAACAGTGGATGAATATCCTGAGCATCATAAAGCCAAGCCAGCATGGCTTGCACACAAAACATACCAGCCCCTTCACCTGGGATGTTCCAATGGGCATTTATAGGGGAAATAGGATAGTCCTCCTCAGGGTAAACAACTTTATACTGTCTTTTATTTAGCCTAGTAGGCTAATTGATCCCTAGGGAATAACCTGCTATGTGTCTGGATCATGTGTGGTGATCTATGATTGTTCCATAGTGAGCTGTGGATCTTGTATCAACCCAAACATGCTTTTCTATTCTGCAGTATTCAAAAACCAAAGAAACTTGACTCTGAATTAATTACTCCTACATTTATTTCAGTAAAGGTTCTTCCATAAACTGTTGATATAACTTCGTCATGCTGCACCCCTGGTTTCAGTAGTTTCTTGATTTTTCCTGTCTTACCTGGACTCTCTTTTCGATGACCAGATGTTTCAGAGCATATTCCAGCATATTTTTTCCCTTCGAGGATGGCTTTGAGACTAGTGGCCATATCTCAGACTGACCAAAATCTGAGGTTGGTGTCAGCACCCTTTTTTTCTCTCAGTTTAGCTATTATAACAAGAACCAAGGGATTATATATTTCACTTTTTCCTTTTTTTTTTTTTTTTTTGCACTTCCCTGTACATCCAATAGATCAACTCTTTAGAAGCTGGTCTATCACTATTTCTGAATTCCATTGGCTGGGTCTATCACTGTTTCTCAATTCCATTGGCTGGGTCTATCACTATTTCCGAATTCCATGGGTGGCTTTTACCTTTAGAAACTGATCACAACGCAGATGCAATTTTATATCGGGGTGACCCTGTGGCCCCCCAGAAATCAAAGTTTCCTCATTGTTGGCCTTTTAATTTAATTCTTCCTCTTTCCAAACCCATTGTTTCAGGGTTGTTCTAGTGAGTCTCACATTTTCTGGCACAAATGGTAAGGAGAAGTAAACATTTCTCTATGGAGAAATCACTATGGGGGCATAAAAGCCAGCTTCCTGGAGAAGTAGCATTTAACCCGGGATTTGCAGCATTCCATCTACATAAATGTGAGGAAAGATCCCTTTAGGTATGAGCTAAAGGGTCAGGACTAGCAGATAAGAAGCATATGTGAAGGCCCGTACAGAGGGATATTTGGCTGTGGGTAGCAGCAGGCAGTAGATGTGACTGGGAGGATGTCAGGGGAAGGGGAGCACGTGGAAGATGACATTGAATAACATTGAAAAGAAATACATTTTAAAATTTACTCAAGGGAACATGGTATTAAATCAAGTTTCATCTAAAGCTGCCTCCTTACATATTTAAGTTTGGCCTAAAGGTTTTTCTGTACATTGTGAACTGTAACAAGTGAAGTGTAAGCAGAATGTAGCCTACCCTAGTGCCAATCACCGAGTTTTGGCCAATCAAATGTAGCCAACTGTTCGAGCCATGTTCAAATAAGGTAAATGCCAAGCTGTAACCAATCCGGCTGTTTCTGTGCCTCACTTCCATTTTCTGTACTTCACTTTCCTTTTTCTGTCCATAAATCTTCTTCCAACATGTGGCTGAGCTGGAGTCTGGGAGCCTAGTCTGGCTGGGAAGGCTGCCTAATTTTGAGAATCATTCATTGCTCAATTAAACTCCTTCAAATTTAATTTGGCTGAAGTTTTTCTTTTACTAGTGGGGAGCCATTGAATAATTTTATCTGGGGGAAAGGCATGATAGGAAAATCTCTTTCAAAATAAAATGAGTGCTAGCTCGCTGCTAACCACATGTTTACTGAGGTTCATCACTCTGCACACCTGCTCCTCTGGGTTTCCTCACTACTCTCAGAATTCCAGCCCTTACCCGACATGCTGGGGCCACCAACTTACTCGTTTGCCTGTTCTCTTCGACACTGAGGTCATCAAATACTATGTAAGATTCAAGCTTTGTAACCTCAATGCTTCTACCCATTTTGATACTAGATATATATTTATCACATGATTATATTAAATATAGACCAAGACCCTAAAACATTCCTAACCCTAAGATACTCCATGTTTGGGTAAATAGCGTCCAAAAATACCACTAGCTGTCCTAAGGTATAGCAGGAGAAAAATACAATGCATCAAAGGGAAAAGCTGTACTGAAGGAGAGAAATAGGAAAGAGGGAAATCAGAAAAATAAAAGATGAAGAGAGACTTTTGCTTAATGTGGATGGGTTACGTCATTGTGGAGGCTAAGGGGTAAAAGATATTGTATGGTGGTGTACATGCCATAGGTTGTGCACACATAACCACCCATCATATTTAGACATAGCATCCATCTGGGAGTCTCACCATACGATAGGCTCAGAGTCTGATCCATATTGCAGGAGAGTCGGAACAGCACACAGCAAGACATGAGGAGGAAGACCCATGACCATTTAGTCACCCGTCATTCTTCAAATGGATACAGTACTTCTAAAACACTAACACTCTTTTTATGGTATATCCATGATTGTAAATTAAGGCCAATAATGGCCGGGCGCGGTGGCTCACACCTGTAATCCCAGCACTTTGGGAGGCCAAGGCGGGTGGATCACAAGGTCAGGAGATCAAGACCATCCTGGCTAACACAGTGAAACCCTGTCTCTACTAAAAATACAAAAACAAAATTAGCCGGGCATGCTGGCGGGTGCCTGTAGTCCCAGCTTCTCACGAGGCTGAGGCGGGAGAATGGCATGAACCCAGGAGAAGGAGCTTGCAGGGAGCTGAGATCGTGCCACTGCACTCCAGCCTGGGCGACAGAGCGAGACTATGTCTCAAATAATAATAATAATAATAATAATAATAATAATTCTTAGCTTATCCCAAATAAATCCTGATTTAACTTAATTGTATCTTTCTTGAAATTCTATTAAGAGTAATAAGACATTCAATGATGTATTAAACGATAATAACAGTTGACATTTATAAAGTGTTAACCACAAATATTGATTCATTTATACACAAAATGATTATTGAGTGCCTAAAGTCACTGGGCTGTGCCCTAAGTAAATAAGAATGAGACAGTGCTGCCTCATGTTCTAGTCTTTCCTCTGCCAATTTTATACTCCTTTGTTCTAATGTGCACAGGCAACCCGAAAGTCAGCTAATTCTACAAAAGTTTAAAAGAAACAAACTAACTTGAGGTTCTAAATAACTTATTCAAGTCCTGGCAGTCGGGATTTGATCATATAACTCTTGTCTCTATTTCTCAGACTGCAAAAACTAATAGGTCGTGGCAAATAATGTATATAAGTTTTGTTAATGAATGGAAAACATTAGGAAGTTAAATATCTGGATACACATATTTTCTAGGCCAACGTTTCTCCTGCTAAATAATCCTACCTTCAGTCACGGTTGATTTTAAACTGCAGCCAAAAGAACCAAGGGTGATTGTGGCTGTCATTACTAAATAAATGTCATGGGGTTAGCAGGGAGAGAAAGAGAGAGAGAGAAAGAGACAGAGACAGAGAGAGGGAGATTACAGAATGGGGTACTAATAGTTTGTAACAGTTTTTAAACAATCCTGTTATAGATTAATGATAGGGTATCAGACAGTAGAGGTAAACTTTGTAGCATATTGCATTTCTGATCAATGCCTACAAATTGATTTTTTTACAAAACTCCTCTGTTACACATGTAAGCGTCACAAGGAGCCTGAGTTTCTTTTGTTACAGATTTAAACAATATTCTAGCATAACCCTGAGAAAGTAAATAATATTTGTGATAATTAATGGATTTTCTAGAAAACTAAATGGTGATGGTGAACTGCCAGGATCCCAAGGAAAAGGAATAGCTCTAGCAAAAAGGATCTGTAGAAAAGAGGAAAGCCTGGTACGCCCTTCTGTCCCCATCTTATCCATAGGCTGACCAAGATAACACCTTGAATGTCACATTTACAAGCAAGTATTTTCTGGCCCGATAGCATCAAGCATAAAGTCAATCCATCATTTGTCCTAAAGGAACAGCAACATTTGTTTACACTGGAGGAGTCACAAGTCTGAGGAGATTTTTCGATCAGAAATAACCTATCCTTAGACTGAGGTTGGTGAAGGAAGGCAGAAGTCTACGCTGTGTTTTTCTGATTGAACTTTGCACACAGAAGAGTCTTTTGAAATAAGCACTTCGATGTCAACAGCAGTTAATTCAGCAGGCACATGCTGTGGATTAGGGAGAACTAAGATAGGTGATTCTAACTGCTGCAACAGATGTTCTGGGAATATCAGAACCATTGGACTTCAGTGTCAAAGTGAAGCCAGGGACCATGGGAGAATCCTGGTGCCCCCAAAATCACAGAACGTCTTTTGATTCACTTCACTCTGGACTTTCAGGGTGTTTCTCTACCCTATCGTGCCTCGATTAAGCCACATATTGGTTGAGTCACCTTCCCTCCAATCCCCAAATGTAGCTGCCCAAATCAGATACCGTCACAGGTCATGGATGATAAGCATTTTAATGCATGCATCAGTGTATGTCCTGTTTCTGTTACACTGAAGTACTTAAACAACAGTCATTGTGTTCTCTGCTGATGTGGATAGACTCTTACCTGGTCATAAATGTGTCCTTTATAATTGCTGTTACCTGAGGGCTTTCCATGAAGGCAACTTCAGCAATTAAAGTTACTTAGGTAGCAATCTCGGTTAAAGTGTGATGAACATTTAATTTAGAACAGTGTAGCTTCTTGGTTAGTTTGTGTTGATCTCCAACCTGGTACGTCAACTTGTTTCTCAGTGAGATGGAGAGGTTGAGAGTGCTGCCAAGAGGATGTTAACTATTTTATATGGTATCGTTCTACAAGGTTTGCAGCTACGTACTGAGGTAAAACAGCGTGAACACAGACAATTAAATAAAAGCATAAGAAAATGAAAATATATTTCCAAGATAGGAGGGCAAGTTGAGTGGGAACAATATGCAGCCACTGCCTGAAGGCGTTTGAAGAATGGGAATGGCGAGTCCTGGAAGATTTCCTGGGCCAACAACCTGAAGATTGCACCGCTGCGCAGAGCGCTCCTGGCCTCTGAAGCAGATGTTCTGGAGGCTGCTCTAGTAGTGGACAGACAGGTAAGGATGGTTTAAGCCAGCTTCCTGGAAAGTTCCAGGTCCAGCTTCTAAACGCTCTTCCCAAATTGATAATTCAAAGAGAGTCTGTAGAAACATTTAGGATTTAGGGAAACTACCGTCTGCGTTTATTTTTCTTCCCACAAACTTTTAATAAGCAGCAACTATATTGGCCTGTTCCTGGTGGGGAAATAGGAAGGAAGGGGGAAAATGATGTCATAAGACACTGGCTGTGTGTCTCAGTTCCCTTGTGATTATTTTTGAGATGGAAACGACTGACTCAAGGGCAGAGGACAGGAGGCCCTCAAGCACTACAGTTTGCTGATTGGAAGTGATCAGCATTACAAACCCGGTGCAAGGGCAACGGTGGGTCAGAGATGTGGGCTGAAGAGTCCTGGAAACAGAGGTCCTGGGCAGGGAAATCCGATATGGGGCTTTGAGTAACCTCATGGGCATCTATGAAGAGACAGACAAAAATTAGTCTGTCCAGAGGAAGCGATGACTGATGGCATTTCTACCTGCACGCAGTCTGGAAAAGAGTCGGCCCCACCCTGAGTCTTCCCACTCATCTCCTCTCACACATCAATCACCCTGTGTCCTAACCACGACAGCTGCTAAATCTTTAACTTAAGGGGGAAAAGATTTGTTTTTAACTTAAGGAAGGAAAGTATTGTTTAAAATATGAGATGAAAGGAGGAATGACTATTCACTCTTCCTCTCCTAAAGACTTAGCCATTTTAGGCTGGGCACGGTGGCTCACGCCTGTAATCCTAGCACTTTGAGAGGCCGAGGCAGGCGGATCATAAGGTCAGGAGATCGAGACCATCCTGGCTAACACAGTGAAACCCCGTCTCTACTAAAAATACAAAAACAAAATTAGCCAGGCATGGTGGTGGGTGCCTGTAGTCCCAGCTACTTGGGAGGCTGAGGTGGGAGAATGGTGGGAACTTGGGAGGCAGAGGTTGAAGTGAGCTGAGATCACGCCATTGCACTCCAGCCTGGGTGAAAGAGCGAGACTCTGTCTCAAAAAAAAAAAAAAAAAAAAAAAAGATACACAATTTAGGTTAGAGAGGAGGAATAAGTTCAAGAGATCTCTTGTACAACATGGTGACTATATTATAGTTAATATAAAAAATTATACTGATGAAAATTGCCAAGACAGTAGATTTTAAGTCTTCTCACCACAGAAAAGTATGTGATGTAATGCATATGTCAATTAGCTCAATTTAGCCATTTCAAAATGTATACATATTCCAATACCACATGTCTTACATGATAAATGTATGCAATTTTTATTTGGCAATAAATAAGCAGAAATATTCAAAAATGAATGAACTATTTTGTATTACGAAAGGTCTGTATCCAAACAATCTATAGTTGGTTATTTGAAAAAACAAACAAAACTCCCCTAAAATATCAGAATTTCATTGCTTTTAAGATAGAGATTGGATATTTTATCAAATATTTTATGATTATATTTTACTCACTCATGGCCTGATTCCTCAGAACATACAGTCAGCTAAATTGCCAATGACTTAAACATTTGAAGTTAGGTTTGTTTTTGGTTGTTGTTGTTCATGCTGCAGGGCATAAATTCCTGTGTAATGTGTGCTCACGTATTCAGCTTTGCTTTCAGATTAAATGGAGCACTTCCTAATGGGTCAGTAGCCTGTGAATCCACTGCTTATGACAGTCATCACACTGTAGCTCCGTGTGAGGGCAGCCAAGTGTAAAACTAAGATTCTCCACTAATATCTGTCTAGGGGAGATGTGAGACAATGGCTTTTAAACTTCAGAGTATGTCGGAATTAACAGGAGGACTTACTAAAATACAGATTGCTGGGCCCCAGTTCTAGAGTTCCTAATTCAGTAGGTCTCAGGGGAGCCTGAGAATTTACATTTATAACAAATTCCCGTGTGGTGCTATCACTGCTCATTCAGGAACCGCACGTTAAAAACCAGTAGAGAAAAGTGTGGTGCTGCATTTGTTGCTGCCGTATGTAAAACCTGTGAGGTAGCAAGTGAGGTGGTCATCACCACACATAATGAAAACAGTTTCATAAAACTCACTAATGAATGGGTCCAGTTCTGTTACCCCTTAGGTCTAACTTTTATGGAAGAAACACAGACCTTGCCTTCTGATGAATTGGCTGACTGCTGAACTAACTCACTGAGTCTTTCATTTACTTGGAAAATCATGATTGAACTTCATTGATCAGATGGGCATTCTACTTAACACAGGGTGGACAAAAGTTTGGAAAAATAAACAAGTGTTTAATATATTTCACATATTAAGTTGCAATAACACTCATTGTTGATGAGCTAAGGGACACCACCTGGAGTGCTTCCCGCAGAAGATATACCACCCGTTCCTTCAAGGGAGGGAGGAACCAGATGGTTGGTAATTTCCAAAACTGAGATGGACAATGTAGCCCTGAGGAGTGGGCTGCATGCTCCTCAGCTCGGAACCCTCGTGATTACTTTCTCTGGAATATGCAAAAAGTGCGGGTTTATTCAATGAAAATCAGAGGCACCAATCATCTGAGGCAATGTCTCAATGGGGAACATCTGAGGGGTTGATGAAGGTGTGTCTTAAGGCACCATGGTGACTGTAGTTTTGCACAGTATCTTGGACTTTTTGTTGCTATTGCAGATCAACACCATTACGTATCTCATGTCATGTAATATCACGAACTGGAATGGTGTATCAATAAATCACCTATTATGGATATTCCGTAATATTTTCAGGTTTTGGGCCACCCCGCAGAAGAGGATTCAATGAGCTCATGCTATCTTCCCTCTCAAAGGAGGTGGGCAGTAACGCAGAGCATTTGAATTTAACGCTGAGCCTCTCATGAGAGGGGATACATGGGAAAAGAAGCTCTGTGAAAACTGGAGGTTACTGGGGCCAGATGAGGCTGTATTGCCATGATGGGGATGGATGATTAGAAACAGTGCAGAGAAAGGGCCCTGACTGATTGGTGTTTCTGATTCCAAAAACATAAAACAAACATGGCAGGTTTTCATGTCTTTGCTATTGTAAATAGTGCTGTGATGAACGAACCAGTGCAGGTGTCTTTTTTATAAAACAATTTCTTTTTCTTTGGGTAGACATCCAGTAGTGAGACTACTGAGTTCAATGGTGGTTCTATTTTTAGTTATTTTTATTTTTATTTTTATTTTTTTTTTGAGACAGAGTCTCCCTCTGTCACCCAGGCTGGAGTGCAGTGGCGCGATCTCGGCTCACTGCAAGCTCCGCCTCCCGGGTTCATGCCATTCTCCCACCTCAGCCTCCCGAGTAGCTGGGACTACAGGAGCCCGCCGCCATGCCTGGCTAATTTTGTTTTTATGTTTTTAGTAGAGATGGGGTTTCACCGTGTTAGTCAGTATGGTCTCGGTCTCCTGACCTCGTGATCCGCCCGCCTTGGCCTCCCAAAGTGCTGGGATTACAGGCATGAGCCACCGCGCCCAGCCCAGGATGATATTTTCTAAAGTTTCTTCTAGGATTTTTATAGTTTGAGGTCTTACATTTAAATCTTTAAACCATCTTGAGTTAATTTTTGTATATGGTAAAATGTAGGGGTCCAGTTTCATTCTTCTGCATATGGCTAACCAGTTATCCCAGCACTATTTATTGAATAGGGAGTCTTTTCCTCATTGCTTATTTTCATCAACTTTGTCAAAGATCAGATGGTGGTAGGTATGTGGATTTATTTCTAGGTTCTCTCTTCGGTTCCATTGGTCTATGTATCTGTTTTTGTACCAGTACCATGCTGTTTTGGTTTAAACTAGGTGCCCATAAATAGTGGATTGAATTAAGAAAATGTGGTACATATACACCATGGAATATTATGCAACCATAAAAAAGAACAAAATCGGCCTGGTGTGGTGGCTCACACCTGTAGTCCCAGCACTTTGGGAGCCCAAGGCGGGTGGATCACAAGGTCAGGAGATCGAGACCATCCTGGCTAACACGGTGAAACCTCGTCTCTACTAAAAAATACAAAAAAATTAGCCCGGGCATGGTGGTGGGTGCCTGTAGTCCCAGCTACTCAGGAGGCTGAGGCAGGAGAATGGCATGAACCTGGGAGGCAGAGCTTGCAGTGAGCTGAGATCACACCACTGTACTCCATCCTGGGCGACAGAGCAAGACTCCGTCCAAAAAAAAAAAAAAAAAAAAATCATGTCTTTTGCAGCTGCATGGATGCAGCTGGAGGCCATTACCCTAAGTGAATTAACAAAGCAACAGAAAACTAAATACCATGTTCTCACATATAAATGGGAGCAAACCATTGGGTGCACATGAGCATAAAGATGGGAACAAAAGACACTGGGACTCCTAGAAGGGGGAGAGAAGGAGGGAGGGTAAGGGTTGAAAAGCTACTTATTGGGTACTATGCTCACTACCTGAGTAATAAGATCATTTGTACACAAACCTCAGAGTCCCACACTATACCCATGTAACAAATCTGCACATGTATCCCCTGAATCTAAAAGTTGAATTTTTTTTCTTACAGTAAGCTTTTATTCATTTATGTTGCATAACCAGCAATATTGGGAGATATTCAATTTTTTTATTAAGGTGCTAGGCTGTGCCTTAAAGGATTCAAATATTTTAATAAAATGTAGTTTCAAACTATTTTAAATCAAAATACTCTAATGTTATTTCTAATATGAATGCCATTTTTTTCTGAGTGTGAAAAATTCCAGAAACAGTTATTTATTTTAATACGAAGCTAGTACAAAATAAAGTTTAAGTGAAATTAATTGGAGAAAAAGCCAACTTAACTAGGTATAAACTCTATACTTTGCCTCTCTTTATAGAAATAAAATCATGTGCCTTCAAGTGTATAAGACAGCAGGAACTAATTTCCAAAGGACCAACACTTGGAAAAGCAGTGACAGCATTAGGAGGAATAACTGTTGAGAGCTGCACTCTTGGGACAGCTGGACTATGCTGCTGGGCAGAGTTCAGGCAGAGCAGGGCTGCTCTCTCTCCTGTCTGGAGAGTGCTCTGAGTGTAGCCCTAGGCCTGCACCTGGCAAGTTCATGGTTCAGACAAACTCTGGCCTCCCCAGCACAGACAGGCAGCATGGTTCTTCTCACAGTCCAGGGAAATGCTCCTGGACACGTCTCAAAATGAAAGATCTTCTCATCTTGTCCCCCAGTGGTTCAAACTTCTGCTGAGTGTGGGCTGAATATCTTTGTGATACATTTATAAACAAATAGATGCTTCCTAAAGTTTTACTTTGCAACTGTTTCATCCCTCTTCTTCAAAATAAAGTGAATAAAATATTTCATGGAGTTTAGTGAGAAAAATAAATCAGATTATTCATATAAAATATTGATTACAGTGCTTCTTGGTACACTGTCCACTGTCTGGGCACACGGGCAATAAATTATAGCTGCTATTTTTAAATATATTATTTGAATATTGTCAGACATAAATGAGTATTCAAAACCTCTACTATAATATCTATAAGATATTAAATGCCTACTAGGAAGTATTAATTATTTTTCTATATACAATGTACCAGGAATTCTCAACATGGTTCCCATTCAAATTGGATTGAGGACATTTTCCCACATTTTCCCAGTAGAGACTATCTCAAGTGTTGAACATGAGTGCTAGCTTTGCCCTGTCCTGTGAGTGCATCACCACACTGACACTCTTGAAGTCCTCTAACTTGATAGTTTCCACGTGAAATCTTAATCCAGTTTCATGAGCAGGGTTGGTTCTACTGAAAATTAATGAGGAAGCAGATGAAATTTATTTTTACTTCCCACCCCAATCCCCAAAGCTTATTAATCTCCTTACATCCTGGCCCCTTGCTCTTCCATTTGTTCTGAGCTCTTGACGTCTGTTTCTCTATGTTTTTTATCCTATCGATTCAATAATTGTTGTTAGAGTGTCTCCTCTGTATTACCCAGGGACATCCCGTTAAACGCTGCTATTACAAAGTAGATAAGATGCTGTCCATTCCCCCAGTTAATGCTTCTCTTAAATAATTATCATAAATATCATGGGCAATGGCATAAGCAGATTTTTCTGGTCTACTCCACGGCAGCAGTAATAGAATGTTATCTCAGTGTGTTCAGTGTTGTTAACAATGTCCTGTTTTGTATTTTACTATAAGTTTTTCTTCGGATAAACTTGTTTTGTGAAATATGTTCAAAATGTATTAAGAGTCTGCCTTTTAAGCAAATTCTCTGAAAAGCTTCTCCTAGGTATGTACTAAATAAATACATTTTCCAGTATGATGCATTCTGCCATTTGGTACATTTTAAGAACTCTTTTCTACTTATTTAATATAATTAAGGTCAAGCTCATTGTACTTTCTTTTTACATGTTGTGCATAAATGTATGAACAATTAGTTCATTATATACATTGACTACAATTTTCTGTCTTGTTTTGTTTTTCTTTTCTCAGAGCTAAACTCCTGGAATAGGAGTTGGGAGACTGGAAGTCTGGTAGTGGCTCTACTGAGTTGACAGACCTGGAGTGAGCACGTGCCAGCACTTTGGTCTCCATATATACCACGCAAGAGTTCAAATAAAATAATGCACACACTTTCCTCCAGCTCTAACATTTAGGACTTGATCATATTTCAAATTCAAAACTCTTCTTAATTTTAATAGGAATCCCTCTCTAAGACAGCCTTTAAAAGGCAGTAAGCCAAATGTGCGATTGAATTATCAGGTGTATACATGCTGTGGGTTAATTAGCTGAAATACGGCTGCGCTCTGTTTAGCAGGTGAAAAGAGTTTACACCTTAAAGTAGAATGGTTTTAAAAATTGAACATTAAAATGTTATTCTGTGTTAGTGTGGGTAATAAGATTAAAGAACACAGATTAGTTATCAACATAAAAGAATGGGCAGAAAAGTAAATAATGAAGGGAGCAAGACAAGAAGGCAGAATGCAGTGGAGATGAACGTAACTGATCTCATTCAAAACTCAAGGGATGTGTCAACAGTGAGCAGTGTGAGCCTGAGGGGTTTTAATCAATCATCTGGAACTGTGGGTCACTCCCGCATGGTACATCATGAAATTCAAAACAAAACAAAAAAATGGAGCAGAAGGAACATCACACACAACCACTGAATAAAGACGAAAAACATAAAGGAAGACACCCTAATGTCATCATGATGACTTCTTTGATAGAATTTTATCAAACATGTCTGCCAACTTTTGAAAAACCGCAACTGAAGAACAGGAGTGGGAAAGACACCCACTAACTTTCTTTTTTTTATTATTATACTTTAGGTTCTAGGGTACATGTGCACAACGTGCAGGTTAGTTACATATATATACATGCACCATGTTGGGGTGCTGCACCCAGTGACTCGTCATTTACATTAGGTATATCTCCTAATGCTATCCCCCCCTCCCCCCACCCCACGACAGGCCCCGGTGTGTGATGTTCCCCTTCCTGTGTCCATGTGTTCTTATTGTTCAATTCCCACCTATGAGTGAGAACATGCCAACACCCACTAACTTTCTTCAGCTTTGAAACTCACAACGAACGCAGACGCACCACACAAGGCCACAGCGTCAGAGTCTATTGATGTTGGATGATGAAAGCACAGAAAACAGAACATGACTTTCATCAGGTTTGATCTTCTCATCTTCAGTGTTTTTAAGGCATAGAAGAGGACTAAAATGGGATGAATCCAAAGGTTAAAAAAGTGAAACTGCAGAGTGTTTCTGGCTAGCAAGAGTTAGGAAAAGCAAGCAAAAGTCTCTGAACCCTACATCTCCACCATCTCTTCTGAGCTCGGGATTCCCAGCCTGGATGCAGAGAAAACCCTAGTCCCTATCCGGAGGAAGTCTTGTTACCTCAAATGCTGTGTATTCTTAACCACACTTCTTTTCAACACAAAGCTGTTCTTTTTCTTGGCTCTCTCATTTCTGCTATTTATATGACTGACATCTGTTCTCTCTTGCTGAAAAGTTAGATGTGTTTTGGAACTAGGGTAAGACAAGACACACAGGGGACAAGATTTAAGGAGATGCTGCACTTGCACAACCGTGACAGTGAGTGTCTCCCTAAGGTCTGTGCCCTCGGCACTTCATTACATCACCCCCACCCTGGCCCTGAATCAGACCACTTCTGACTTCAACATACCGCTTGTGTCTGCCTGGCTTCTGTGCTCCAACGGCCCTGTTGGACTGAGAAAGTGATGCCCATGAACATGTTTGTTTGGCATGGCAGGTTAACTGCGATGAAGGGGTCCATCTCTTCTTTCAAGGAGCCTGCTGCAAAGTGCTAGTCTCCTCTAAATGGCCGTGTTACATCCCTAGTAAACAAACATGCAGAAACATAAATGCCACTTCTTTAAGCTGGATTTCCATGTCCCCTACAGATTCTTTGGGCGTGGGTGTGACTGGAGCATTCGTGGGGTAAAGCCATGGCAGAACCATGCTCAGGCCTGGTTTGGATCACCCTGCAAACATTCCCATTCTCACCCCAGCTGTGTTCCCAATGGAGGCAGAGAATAAGTGAGAGAAAAGTTGCAACTGGGGAGAAGACAATTCCAGACATAGTAGGGTGGTTGAACCAACTGTGTATAACATTCTAAATGACTTGAATCCAGACTGACTACACTAGAAATACACAATACTTCTGTTGGTCTTAAATCCTACTGAATTACAGGAGAATAAAGAGGAAGTATTTAGAAAATGGATATACTTCAAGGAGAGCAATTGAACATTTTTGGGAAGAAATAAAGAGCTATTACTTTATTCCATGTCTTTATCATCTCATATCTAGATATTCTAATGGATATATATCTTTCTGATTGACCTCCTGCACCAATATTTTAAACTTTTTCTATTCATTCTGCATGTGGCATTCCAAAGTGCCACTGGTTCATTTATATTACAAGCACAAAGATAAACAGATAACTTTTTTTTTTTTAACTTTATGAAGTACAAATGCTGGCTGGGCGCGGTGGCTCACACCTGTAATCCTAGCACTTTGGGAGGCCGTGGCGGGTGGATTACCCGAGGCTGGGAGTTCGACACCAGCCTGGTCAACACGGAGAAACTCCTTCTCTACTAAAAATACAAAATTAGCCGGGAGTGGTGGCGCATGCCTGTAATCCCAGCTACTCAGGAGGCTGAGGCTGGAGAATCGCTTGAACCCAGGAGGCAGAAGTTGCAATTAGCCGAGATCACGCCATTGCACTCCAGCCTGGGTGACAGAGTGAGACTCCATCTCAAAGGAAAAAGAAAAAAAAGGAAAGGGGAAAAAAAGGCTTTTCCATATATTTATATTCCATATCATTTTAAATATTAGACAATTTATGTCACTTTGGATGCACTCTAAGTTTAAACAAAGGAAATTAGGACAAAGATAAAATGAGGATTGATTAGTAAGAAAAAGCTAGAGTGAGTTGGTACCCACAATGACAGGCCATGAAAACTTTTACAGCTGTTGATTTTAGTAGAGCAATTTAGTACTGCGTTCTTGGTAGGCAGAGTGAATAAGGAGCAAGAGTCAGTCATAAGATCCCAACTGGCTACAATTTAAAAACACACCTGTTAATCAAGGAAAGAACCACAATTTTTGGAGACAAGTTCTAGGAGAAATTCTAATCCACGGCATAATGGAAGATGATGCCTTCGCAGTATCTCCATGAGGAACTCACCTGTGAGTCTCACTAGTTGTCTGTAACACTGACTCTTACTTCAAGCCAATGACATCACTTGGTTCTCTGCATGGCTTTGAAGACCCTTCAAGATTAGGCCATCCTCAGCTCCAGAAGACCCCATCCCCTCAGTGAACACTGGGAATCCCACTCTTCTTTCTCCTTTCCAGATAGCTTGTTCATAGCATGTGGAATCTCTGTCATTAGAAGCCACAAATACAGCCACATTTTATGTTTCTACTTGGTTCTTTGTGAGAAACAACCCCACGTGAGACATAAAATGAGCCGTTGATGGTGAAGAAAATCCAAGACTGCAGAGAGAAAAGCCAATATTTAGGCAGAGTCAGATTCTAATTGGTTACTGGTGTCAATATCTCTAATTTATCGATGATTTTTTTTTACATTTTGGGTAGCAAAGAAAATGGAAAGATGAAAACTTGGGCTTGTAGTTATCTTTATCAAAATATTTGAGCAGATTTTCAGGTACCTGATTTGCATAAGTTATAAACACATTCACTTGGCTAAAGTTTTGACAGACCTGAGGATGAGTGGGCAGCCTTTGCTGCCACGGAAAATCTAGAATAAATATTTTGTTTCTGTTTTACTGCTTTTTAAAAGTTGTACATATTGAATGTATTTGTCTTGATGAGTTTAGAATAAGAATATGCCTATGAAACCAACATCACTATCATGGCCATAAATATATCCATCACCTCCCAAAGTTTCCTATTGACTATTATTGTTACTGTTTCATTTTGTTTGGTGAGAACACTTAACATAAGATCTACCTTCTTAGCAATTTTAATTACACAGTAAGGTGTTCTTAGCCGTAGGCACTATGCTGTATGGCAGATCTCCAGAACTTATTTACCTTGCATAAATGAAACTTCGTACCCCTTAATCATCACCTTCCCATTTACCCCAACCCCTAGCCCCTGATCACCATTATTCTATTCTCTATTTCTACTTGTGTGATTATTTTAGCTTCTACATATAAGTGAGATCATGCAGTATTTCCTTTCTGTGTCTGGCTTATTTCACCTAGCATTATGCCCTGCAGGTCCACTCATTTTGTTGCAACTGGAAGAATTTCCTTCTTTTTTCAGGCTGAATAATATTCCATTGTATGTACTATGAACCCAAAATATCTGAGACAGATCTCAGTCAATTTAGGAAGTTTATTTCACGAAGGTTTAAGGATGCACCGGTGACACAGCCTCAGGAGATCCTGATGACATGTGCCCAAGGTGGTCGGGGCACAGCTTGGATTTATACATTTTAGGGAGACATAAGACATCAATCAACATATGTAATATGTACATTGATTTGGTCCAGTAAGGTGGGACAACTCCACCTTACTTCGACTCCCCCCACCCCCACCAGGTTCCAGGTTTAGAAGAGGCTTCCAGGTTAGAAGAGACATGGGACAAAAAGGTTGCATTCTTTTGAGTCCTTGATACGCCTTCCACTAACTACACAATTTAGTCTGGCTCAGTGAATCTGCTTTGTACATAAACAATAGGGCAGAGGAAGCAATCAGATATGCATTTGTCTCAGGTGAGCCTCAGAGGAATGATTTTGAGTTCTGTCTGTCCTTTGTCCACAAGGAATTTCCTTATGGGCAAAATGTGAGGGAGGTATGTAGCTTTTTATCTTTGTAGGCTATTTTATTTAGGAATCAAAAGGGAGGCAGGTTTGTCTGACATAGTTCCCAGACTGACTTTTCCCTTGGCTTACTAATTTTGGGGTCCCGAGATTAGTTTTTCTTTCACAGTACAAACTGTGATTTCTTTCTCCATTCATCTATTGATGGACATTTAGGGTGTTTATACATCTTAACTGTTGAGGATGATGGTGCAGTGAACGTGGCAGTGTGGATATCTCCTTGAGATCCTGATTCCAGTTCCTCTGAATATATACCCAGAAGTGGCATTGTTAGATGATACGGAAGTTCTATTTCTAATTTTTTTTTTTTTTTTGAGACGGAGTCTCGCTCTGTCGACCAGGCTGGAGTGCAGTGGTGCGATCTCGGCTCAATGCGAGCTCCGCCTCCCGGGTTCAAGCCATTCTCCTGCCTCAGCCTCCCGAGTAGCTGGGACTACAGGCACCCGCCACCACGCCCGGCTAATTTTGTTTTTGTATTTTTAGTAGAGACGGGGTTTCACAGTGTTAGCCAGGATGGTCTTGATCTCCTGACCTCGTGATCCGCCCAACTCGGCCTCCCAAAGTGCTGGGATTACAGGCGTGAGCCACCGCGCCCCGCCACTATTTCTAATTTTTAAAGTAACCACCACATTGTTTTCCATAAGAGCTACATCAGTTTACAGTCCCAAAAACAGTGCGCAAGGGTTTCCTTTTCTCCACAGCCTTGCCAAGACTTGTTTTCTTTTCTTAATAATAGCAATCCTAAGAAATGCTGAGGTGATACCTCATTGTGGTTTTGATTTGCATTTTCCTGATGATTAGTGACACTGAGCATTTTTTATATGCTTGTTGGCCATTTGTTTTGTTGTTGTTGTTGGTTTACTTATTTATTTATTTATTTATTTATTTTTGAGACAGAGTCTCGCTCTGTTGCCCAGGCTGGAGTGCAGTGGTGCAATCTCGGCTCGCTGCAAGCTCCACCTCCCGGGTTCACGCCATTCTACTGCCTCAGCCTCCCGAGTAGCTGGGACTGCAGGTGCCCACCACCACGCCCGGCTGCTTGTCTGCCATTTGTATGTCTTTTTGAGAAATGTCTGTTCGTGTCCTTCACCCATTTTTAAAAATTGGCTATTTGTTTTCTTGCATTTCAGTTGCATGAGTCTCTAATATATTTTGGATATTAAACACTTATGTGTTTTGTAAAAGAATGACACTGGACCTTTATAATACACACAAATTAACTCAAAATGGATTAAAGAATTAAATGTAAGACCTGAAACCATAAAATGCCTAGAAAACTGAAGGAGAAAGCTCCTTGACATTTATCTTGACAATGATTTTTTTGGACATGACATCAAAATCACAGACAAGAAAATCAAAAATGAACAAGTGAAATAAAGCTTGTGCATAACAAAGGAAATAATCAACAAAATCAAGAGGCAACCTATGGAATGGGAGATTAGCATAAATATTTTGTATGGACAAAATCTGTTCAAGAAAATCAATAATGAATGCTTTGAACTGTAACAGGTTTAGTACTTTAAGTACCCATGGAAGCAGTTCATTGCATTCTTTTATTATTTTTTATTAGAATTTTCTTTCTTTTGGCCTGGCGCAGTGGCTCACACCTGTAATCCCAGCACTTTGGGAGGCCGAGGTGGGCGGATCACGAGGTCAAGAGATGGAGACCATCCTGGCTAACACAGGAAACCCCATCTCTACTAAAAATACAAAAATTAGCTGGACGTAGTGGCGCATGCCTGTAATCCCAGCTACTCAGGAGGCTGAGGCAGGAGAATCGCTTGAATCCAGGAGGCGGAGGTTGCAGTGAGCCGATCTGGCATCACTGCACTCCAGCCTGGGCAACAGAGCGAGACTCCATCTTAAAAAAAAAAAAAAGAATTTTCATTTTTTGCGGTGGGTGCGGTGGCTCACGCCTGTAATCCAAGCACTTTGGGAGGCTAAGGCGGGTGGATCACTAGATCAAGAGATCGAGACCTTCCTAGCCAACATGGTGAAACCTCGTCTCTACTAGCAATACAAAAATTAGCCAGGTGTGGTGGCGTGCGCCTGTAGTCCCAGCTACTCAGGAGGCTGAGGCAGGAAAATCGCTTGAACCGGGGAGGCAGAGGTTTCAGTGAGCTGAGATCATGCCACCGCACTCCAGTCTGGTGACAAAGCGAAACTCTGTCTCAAAAAAAGTATATATTTTTTTAAATCTTTTAATTTTTAATTTTTTATTTCACTTTAAGTTCTGGGATACCTATGCAGAATGTTCAGTTTTGTTACATAGGTATACACGTACCATGTACCATGGTGGTTTGCTGCACCTATCAACCAGTCATCTAGGTTTTAAGCCCCACATGCATTAGGTTTTTGTCCTAATGCTTTCCCTCCCTTTTTCCCTTACCCCCGGACAGGCCCTGGTGTGTGATGTTCCCCTCCCTGTGTCCATGTGTTCTCATTGTTCAACTCCCACTTATGAATGAGGACATGCAGTGTTTGGTTTTATGTTCCTGTGTGAGTTTGCTGAGAATGATGGCTTCCAGCTTCATCCATTTCCCTGCAAAGGACATGAACTCATTCTTTTTATGGCTGCGTAGTATTCCATGGTGTATATGTGCCACATTTTCTTCATCCAGTCTATCATTGATGGGCATTTGGGTTGGTTCCAAATCTTTGCTTTTGTAAATAGTGCTGCAATAAACATACATGTGTATGTGTCTTTATAGCAGAATGATTTATAATCCTTTGGGTGTATACCCAGTAAAGGGATTGCTGGGTCAAATGGTATTTCTGGATCTAGATCCTCGAGGAATTGCCACACTGTCTTCTACAATGGTTGAACTAATTTACACTCCCACCAACAGTGTAAAAGTGTTCCTATTTCTCCACAGCCTCGCCAGCGTCTGTTGTTTCCTGACTTTTTAATAATCGCCATCCTTTCAAAACTTTAACCTGACAACATTTAAATGCAATTCAAAAGAAAATAAATTGGCCAGACACGGTGGCTCATGCCTCTAATCCCAGCACTTTGGGAGGCTGAGGCAAGCAAATCATTTGAGGTCAGGAGTTCAAGGCCAGCCTGGCCAACATGGGGAAGCCCCGCCTCTACTAAAAATACAAAAATTAGCCAGGCTTGATAGTGTATGCCTGTAATCCCAGCTACTTGGGAGGCTGAGGCAGGAGAATCGCTTGAACCCAGGAGGCAGAGGTTGCAGTGAGCCAAGATTGCGCCACTACAGAGTACACTCCAGCATAGGAGACAGACCAAGACTCCATCTCAAGAAAAAGAAAAAAAGAAAATCAGTTGACTAAACAGGTAAGAAACAAGAACAAAAATATAAATCTATTCAATATATTTATTTTCTGAACATAATGAGAAAGGTTATAATACTTGTAAAAATTCCTTCACTCATTAGTTATACTTTGCATTGTCTACTTTTATTTTATTTAATTAATTAATTTATTTTTTTGAGATGGAGTCTTGCTCAGTCGCCCAGGCTGGAGTGCAGTGGCATGATCTCGGCTCACTGCAAGCTCCGCCACCCAGATTCATGCCATTCTCCTGCCTCAGCCTCCCGACTAGCTGGGACTACAAGTGTCCGCCACCACGCCTGGCTAATATTTTTTGTATTTTTAGTAGAGATGGGTTTTCACCATATTAGCTAGGATTATCTCGATCTCCTGACCTCATGATCCACCCACCTCAGCCTCCAAAAGTGCCGGGATTACAGGCATGAGCCACCACACCTGGCCAGATTGTCTACTTTTAGAAAAGTAAGCTGTGAAACACCTAAACTAGGTTATTGCTATGTGACTATATTAACTTCTCTATCCTTCCACCCTTCACTCAAGTACATACATTTTAGAATGGAAAAAAAGGATGAGAGGAAGCTTCATGCATCAGGCATCAGACATCTAACAAAGAGGTTCCTTAAGCTGAACTGTTGTCTTGAACCACATTTGGCCAACTGGAACTGCTGGAAATTGTGAGGGAGATGATGAAGAAGGTTCTGGTCCCTCTTATGTTGGACAGATTGCTGACAGCCATGGCTGAATGGAGGGAGACAGGAGTGGAAAGCCTTTGTTCTAAGAGTTCTAGGTTTTGCATATGAATACATAGCTGAATCGAAGTGAAAGGTAGAGAAGGAATATGTAAATCATTGGACATTTTTGGAAAACAATGTTCTCTTCAATTAGTGCTTTTGTGAATAATAGGATGCATTAGGTGTCAGGAGAGACTTTAAAAAAATTGTGCCAATTTGTGGGTAAGGCTCAGAGCTGAGAACAAGGCATTCCAGTTATTGCTGCCTCTCAGGACACCCAGGTTCCCACAGGCTTGCTGGGACGTCTGAATTCGGGAAAACAAACCCTCTCCCAGACTCTTGTCCCACAGTGGACATCAGAGAAGGACCTAGGGTGGAGGAATGGTCACCTAGTTGGGGAGTGCTATGTTCCTGAAAAGATCCTAGTCTTGTTCACCTCTCTAAAGCCAAAGGATATAGCCCTAAGAGAAAGGATTACTCCTGGAGATTGGGACCCTAAACCCTAAAGTTCGGAATGGGCGAGTCCCTCATTGGGAAGTTGCTAAGCTACACAGTTGGCAGAGAAGATGAGCTGCTGAGGCTGGAGAAAAGGGAAGAAGAGAACATAGAGGGTTGAGAAAGGAGTCTTCAAAGAGCAGCCATTTCTAGCCTGGGGCATGGCAAGGGTCCACGCGTGTCTATGGAGTTAACAGCACCACAGCAGGAGGCTGAGGTTAAGCCATTTTCCTGGCTCCACCATCTTCACAAAAATGCCTACTGAGTAAGGGAATTTCTGCAGAAGGAAGTTTGGTCAGAAGCTGGGGAGAGATGTGATGTCAGTTTGAGAAGGATCTTCCATGCCAATGAACTTTGCAGAAACAAGGCCCTGGGCTCGTAAGATCTTGCAAAGATCCCAAAAAGTCACTCCTTGAAGGAATGATTATTTGTACACCTGCCACACAAAGGTAACCCATGGCCAGTCGAGAAAGGGGACTGCACCCACACCACAGGTAGCCAAGGCAAGGGATAGCTCTGTCCCGCTCCTGCTAGAGAAGGGAAGGATGTGTGAATAGAAAACCTCTCCTTATTTTCAGTGTGGGTGCGTGTGTGGGGGGGGATGCACGTGCACACACACACACACGAGGAGAAAGAGGTCTTTCATTTAAAAATGATTGAACATAAGAGTGCAATTTAAACTGTAATTTCTCCCACCCAAGTCGTGACAATCAAAAATGTCTCCAGACATTGCCAAATGTCCCCTGAGGGGCAAAATTCCTCCAGATTGAGAACCCCTGGTCTAGAGAAAGACCTTATCATTGAGTGGCAGCAACTGTTTTTTTTCTTTCATCGGTTACTTAGACATTCTATGCCACAAAGTGAAAATTAAAGGAAATAAACCTACTGACAAGTCGTGGAACAAACAGATGTTTTCTGGCAGAATCAGGAAAAAAGCCAGTGGTGCATTGAAAATTACTAGAATTTCTCCTCTGTGGGAGAATCTTGGCAGGCAACCTCAGCAGGCATGGGGCTAGATGTGCTTGATTTTTATGCCAAATATTGACTGATTTTCTTAGGTATTGTTCCATGGTATTTTTTCAACTAATGTCCAGACTGAGCAGAAAGGCAGCCTGTCTTTGCACGTCATAAAATGAACTGTAGACATATTTGCAGTTGACATAGAAATAGTGTTAAAATGCGTAGACATTAAGTTTTCAGCCTAGGTTCATGTTTACATGTTCTAAATGCTTTTCTCTCCACTTTCTGACATGGAAATAACCATTTTTTAGGCATAGATCACACAAAGTCCCTCTGTGGCATGATCCTGTTCCCACTGGAAAGTGCCGTCTATCACTTTTCTGGGCCTACCCAGAGCTCTGCCCTGGCACTCTATGTTTACCTGAACATATATCCATGTCTTCCTATAGATCTATAATCTATAAATTTATAATCTTTGTGCCCAGCAGTTAGCACATTTCCAGACACAGTTAGGTGCCTAATTAGTACTTACTTACTGAATGAATGAATGAATCATCAGCTGAAATGCACGCACATCCATGTTTCAATTATGCCCCACATAGTGGGGCTTCCTTTTCTCACTCTTATATAACAGAGAAATGATATTCAGGTACACTCGTTAAAGCACTGTACAAGAGACTTTCCTGAAGGAGGGATCTATGGAGACAAGTATAGGGTCCATGGCAATGGGATTTCAGAGTGGAGAAGAGAAACTGGGCTGCAAATGCAGCATGGGCAAGTGGGAATTTATAACCAAGGGCATGGTGGGGGCCAGTGGGTGGAAAATTATGAAGAGGAAACAGCAGGGCTGGGGGATTCTGGCTAAAGCTACCCCTGGTAGGATTCTTGCTGAAGACAGGCCAGGCTGATGAGGTATCAACCGGGGGATAGCGGAGGATGACAAACCTGATTGGGTATTGCGGTGATCAGATATTGAGGGTGGGGAGTTCTTACTAAACTGACTTAGCAGGGTTCTTGCTAAACTGCACTTTATAAGGAAGTGCACAGATGGGCCTTGGGGAACGTTCAGGGGAATGAAGAAATTTTGGTCCAGCCAAGAATCTGTCACCTAAAAGGAGTGTCTTTTTCAATTGGGATCGGGTGTGTCCGGGGTCTCAGCCTCCTGTCTCCCCAGCTTGTTAGCTGTGGGCTGGTCCACGTTCCTCATTGCTTTGTATTCCATAGGGTGCATGGATTTGGTCTCCACTCTTCCTGCCCCACAATGACCTCATGTTCCTCTTCCCAGAAGGAACACACATTGGCTGGGCCCACCCGGAAATTGAAGCTATACACAGCCCACACTGCTGTTTCTTCCACAGCAGCCGAGCCCCTGCCTCCACCCCCACTTACTTGCCATCAGAGCCTTGCTTTGGCTCATGTGTGCTAAGAGAAGGTGACCCAATTTCCAGCCTAGGAGCAAAGTCACCATGAAGTCATGCTGACCTTATTACCTCTGGTTTAGGGGGAGCCTCTGACCGAATTCTGGCAACGGAGCCATGAGGAATCTGGGAGCCCCTGAGAAAGAGTTCCGCACCGACATAAAAAAGTGAGAGCAGAGGTTCACCGCTCTCCTTCCACTGGTGCTGTCCTGACTGACGTGAGGTCACCTTAGGACCAGCGAGGAGCGAGCCCGAGGGCAGGGTGCGTGCTGGGGATGGCAGTGCCAACAGATGGAGATAGTAGGTTCTGGTAACACCGCAGGCCCTGGAGCGGACCGACCCTAATCTGCTCTCTCTTCCAGATCCTTGCTTGTGAGATTTAACTGTTTAAACCAGGTGAACAGGGTTTTCTGTTAACTTGTAGGTAACTGTACCTTGCACAAAAAGATTGTTTACTGAAACACTCTTGGAACTGTACAAACTCCTCAGTATCAGTAGGTAGGGGTTCAGGGAAGGGCCATGAAGCTGGCATCATGTCCAGATTTAGCTTAACCAAGGAGCAAAACATCCCTGCTTCTGCCTTTGAAAGGAGTGGTCCGTTGTTTCTTTGCTGTTTTTACACTTAAAAAAAATCTGATCAGTAGTTCTTCCTGTTGCTCAATATGTACCCATGAGGGCAGGTGGTTGGGGGCAGAGGCAGGGCGAATGGAACTATAGCCAAAAAGGAGAGCAACACTGAAAATCTGTTGCTGAAGTCACAACTTCCTCTCAAGGCTGGAGACCTCAGGGCTCAGCTCTTGGCTGATTCGCTGTCCTCTCTCACAGCCTTAAATCCCAGCCAGAGTCTGATGTCTCTGCAGGATTTCCCTCCCACCACCTCTCCTGTGAGCTCCTGGTGACACAGTCCTCAGCCCTCTCCATACATCCACTCGGATGTCTCAATGTCATGTCCAGCTTAACGTGTTCAAACATGAACTCCTGGTTTTCACTTCCCAAATCTCCTTCCCTTTAAGCATTTCCAGTCTAAGAGGCAGCAAGTCATCCACCACCCATTCAGGCCAAATGTCACAGTTGTCCTCAGTTCTTCCGGTTCTCTCAAATTTACATGCAGTTGATCATAAAATCTGTAGAGTCTGACTTCACTCTCCTTCTGAAGTCTTACCCCATTTCACCTCTACCCTCACCCTGGATCAAGCGACCATCTCCTTCTGCCTGGGCTGCCAACATGGCCCCCACCTGGTATCCTTGCCTTGGCCTTTGCCCACCTTCAGCCTATTTTTCTGCAGCTGCCCAATTTATCTTCTCAACTCATAATTCACATTAAAGTCCTCCAGCATATTTGTATCACACTTAGAACAAAATATAAAGGCCTTTCCTTACTATGCTACTCTGTGATGTATTCTAAATGTTACATTGCATTGAACTAATGAGCCTGAAAAAAGTATTGTGAGCAGATATATAAGCATTCCTGGATTGGCCATGGGGATATCAATTCATATGGATACATGGTGCAAATCCTTAGAGTAACTGATGTGTCTAAAGAAATAATAATGTAATGATCCACATTCCAGTCACTAATATTTGAACCCTCCAAACCTCATGTTGAAATTTGATCCCAGTGTTGGAAGTGGGGCCTAATGGGAGGTGTTTGGGTCATGGGGTCGGATCCCTCATGGATGTCTTGGTGCTGGGGAGTGGGGGTAATGAGTGAGTTCTCGCTCTGTTATCTCCTGCAAGAGCTGGTTGTTAAGAAGAACCTGGCACCTCCCCTCTCTCTTGCCTCCTCTCTCACCATGTGATCTGTGCACACTCCACCCCACCTTCCCGCATGAGTGGAAGCAGCTTGAGGCCCTCTCCAGGTGTACATGTCAGTGCCACGCTTCTGGTACAGCCTGCAGAGCCCTGAGTCAAATACACGTCTTTTCTTTATAAGTTTCCCAGCTTCAGATATTCCTTTATAGCAATGCAAAAATGGACTGAGGCACCGAGTGACTCAGAGCACCCTTTTATCAGCTACTCTATTGATTCCATCAGGAACTAAGACCTGTTATGGTCTTACATCACTGCAGTGAGCCTTGCCCCATCACTTGTGTGTATTACCTAAACACTAAAAGCTGCTAAGTGACAACTTTGTGGGCAAATGTAATATCAATTCCATCAGAGTTACTGGAAATACATTTTGTGTTCAAGCTTTTCCAATCACTAAACATTTTCTGTGATAGTTGTCCATGTGGCAATAAACTGCTGCTCATCCAATCTGGGAATGTGATGCATGACTAAAGTCTAATAAAGTTTTGGAAAAGATTCACACATTTCTGAATTTCATAAAGGTCTAATTATTTTGCCATTTCTCTCATCCTAAATATAATTGAAATGCAATGAGTGAGAGCCCACAGGGATTCTCTTAGTGTCCAGATGGGCATTTCTGCTTTTCCTCATGATGGGCTGGACTATTGAAAATTAATTGGTATTTTCAGCTGTGCCAGGTTGTCAGCCAGCTCACAAGTGTAACTGATGACTTAGTACTCGCAAACCATTTATCCTTAAACAGTAATTCCATACTAATAATTTGTTCCAACTCATTTATATCTCAATTCTTAAGCTAGAAAAAATCTCACGTAAAATGTAAAAAGTTGACTGACTAACTTCTTAGTCATCTTTGAATAAACAAATCAGGAATGTTGCTGGCCTATATGAAGTACTCCCTGTATTTAGAAAAGTTTCTGGAGTGGCTGGGCGCGGTGGCTCACGCCTATAATCCCAGCAATTTGGGAGCCTGAGGCGGGCAGATCACGAGGTCAAGAGATCGAGACCATCCTGGCCAACACGGTGAAACATTGTCTCTACTAAAAAAAATACAAAAGTTAGCTGGGCATGGTGGCACATGCCTGTAGTTCCAACTACTTGGGAGGCTGAGGCAGGAGAATTGCTTGAACCTGGGAGGCAGAGGTTGCAGTGAGCCAAGATTGCGTCACTGCGCTCCAGCCTGGGCGACAGAGCAAGACTTCATCTCAAAAAAATAAAAATAAAAATAAAAATAAGTGTTTCTGGAGCATAGAAAATGGCATTTACATACTAAAATGTAATTTCTACAAATCCAAAATATTTTAAGTCATATTTTAATTTGTTTACATAGCTTTAGAGGTTAATATAGAAAAAATATATACCTAGACATTTTTGAAAAATAAAATTTTATTGTTGAGAATAATTTTTATTTGAACTAAATGCTTTGAAATGCTCAAAAGCTTTTGTGTGTTATGGTGGTTATGGTATGTGTGTATGTGTATATCTAAATTGTATAAAGGAGTGTGAGGAGTGTGAGTCAGTCAACTAACACAAAGTATTTTTTCTTGTTTTTGATATCAAAGCTATAATAATTCAGTAATAAATATCACGACTGTATGTCAATCCTCTAAAATTTGTTTTATTTGGGAAACAGTGAACATGTGTAGGAAATACGATTTTTGTATTACATGTTCTCACTCAGGTGGATGCTAAAGAGGTTCTCACTCATGTGGATGCTAAAGATGCTCATGGAGGTAGAGAGTAGAATGATAGATACGAGAGGCTGGGAAGGGCATGTGGGTCAGGGGGATGGGATAATGAGGGGAGGTTGGTCAATGGGTATCACCATACAGTTAGAAGGAATACATTCTAGGGTTCAATCACAGAAATATTAGTAGGGTGACTATAGTTAATAATGATGTATTGTATATTTCAAAAACAGCTAGAAGAAAGGACTTGAAATGTTTCCAACACATGGAAATGATAAAAGGTGGTGGACACCCCAAATACCCTGACTTCATTACTACACATTCCATGCATGCAATGAAATATCATATTTATGTACCCCATAAATATGTACAAATATTATGCATCAATTTAAAAAGAAAATACAGTTTTGGGTAATTGAGTAAAACAATTTTTTTCAAATTTTGTTTTGGCTTAGTGAGAATTGATTAAAAGCATTCATCAAGATGTAGTGCTTATCTATTTTAATTTAGCCACACATTTACTATTATTTGGATAATTATGCTTGTGACAATTTAAGTGGTCATACCAGAACAGTCGAGAAGTGGAGAGATCTTATACCTAGTTCAATGATTTGTTTAGTTTTTTGCTTCAGAACATGTCTTTCAGATGAAATGTCACCTGCAAGTTGGATGAATAAAGCAGCCTGAAGCAGACATTCTTGGGGCAGGAAGGGTGCTGGGGCCTGGACTCTTCTACCAACCCCTACTCTCCCTGCGGCAGGTGATGTGCTGGGTCTGAGGAGCAGCTTCCTGTGGCAGTAGCCCTGGTGCACACTGTCACAGAGACAATCTCTCCCTCTCAGTGACGTGGCCGCTGCGGGGCCCAGCTGTCAGGACTCAGCCCATGGCTTGTTAAGTTTTCTTATTTAAAACGTGCTTTTTAAAATCGAGTTTAAATATAGGCTCCTTGTAATTACCTAGTTAAATAACCTGACATTAGTAATCTTGTATCCGCCAAGATACCTGACATGTTAACGTGACTTACGTCTAAAGTGCAGTGATGAAAAATGTAGTTTGTTCTGCACTTGCTCTAACATATGTGCCACTCCTGGAATATAGATACGAATTGGGAAATGGAACATTATTCATGTAATAGATATTACATTCAAGTTAAAACTGCATGCACGTAAGTAGAGTATGCACAGGCTCTAAAGGCCGGAAGCAAATAAAGAAACATAATGTTGTCAAAGAGATCTCCAGTCTTAAAAAGCAAGAAAATGATGTGGACACACCAATGAGTAAAAATACGAAACAAAATAAAATAGAGGATGGGGTTTCTTTTTACTTGGAGGAAAGGGGTGAAAGCACACAGAAGACTACAGAAAGTGAGAATGTTTATTTTTATTTTGTTTTATTTTATTTTATTTTATTTTATTTTTGAGGAGTCTTGCTCTGTCGCTCAGGCTGGAGTGCAAAGGTGCAATCTTGGCCCATTGAAACCTCCGTCTCCCAGGTTCAAGTGATTCTCCTGCTTCAGCCTCCCAAGTAGCTGGGATTACAGGCACCCTCCATGACACCCAGCTAATTTTGTATTTTTAGTAGAGATGGGGTTTCACCATCTTAGCCAGCCTGGTCTCGAACTCCTGACCTGGTGATTCACCAGACTTGGCCTCCCAAAGTGCTGGGATAACAGACGTGAGCCGCTGCGCCCGGCCGAGAATGTTTACTTTTAAAACTGAATCGGTACATTCATGCTCATTATGTTGTCATTGTATGTCGGTTGTATAGATTTTATGAATATTATTTTGTATCTATGCCTACTTGCCTCCCTTTCAGAGTTACATATGCTATGTAAACTAATAAAAATACTGCTTAAAATATTTCGGATTTGTAGAAACTACATCTGAGTATGTAAATGCAACTTCCCATGCTCCAGAATGTTTCTAAATTGGTTAGGTTTGCGCCTTTTTGCATTTTATATAAATGGAAGCATGTTGCATGTACTCTCATGCAGCCTTACTTCTTTCATGCAGTATTATGTTCCTGATTTTCATGTACATTGTTTCTCACAGCTGCAATGTATTCTTTTTCTCTACTCTATGGTATTCCATTGGGTGCATATCCATGATTTATTGATCCATTCTGTGGATAATGTACTCTGAATTATTTTTGTTCATTTGATTAGACAGATTAAAACAATATTTCAGTAAATATCTATGTATGGTGCCTTCCGATTCTACAAGTCTACTCCAAGATACAAAACTAAGAGAGGCAAATTTGAGTGGTAGAGTATGTATATTTTCTGTTATTTGAATGAAAATAATAAATATTGTATTCAAAGGTGGTTGTGGCAATGGATACTCCCTCAACAACGTGTGTCTCTAGGTTGCTCCACATCCTTGGCAAGTCTTAATGCCATCCACCTTTTCAATGTTTGCCAATCGGGTGGGTTCCTGATCAGAAAAGAAGTTAATTGTGAGATTTCATTATCAATACAATAAACCGGTGGTCACCAACCAAATCTCATAATTGAGGAGGGAGATGGTTCTAATTTCACTGAGATACAATTCATACCAACGTTCTAAAAAAAAAAAGCACATTTTGTGAATGCAAGACATTGGTAGGTTTATTGTCAGAGATCTTATAAGGGAGGACAAGAGCTGTTTCAGTTACTTGAAAGAGTCTCAGACTGTACATGGTTCATCTGTGGTTTTCTTCAATTAAGAGCATTTTGCCAGTCACATTTTGACTCAAAAAACTCTGTGGTACCCATCAAATGAGTAACATACACACATGCACACACACAGGCACACACACACTTATCCTATAAGAAAGGTACTCTACCTGTAATCCCAGCACTTTGGGAGGCTGGGGTGGGTGGATCACGAGGTCAGGAGATTGAGACCATCCTAGCTAACATGGTGAAACCCCATCTCTACTAAAAATATGAAACTTTAGCTGGGCGTGGTGGCGGGCGCCTGTAGTCCCAGCTACTCCGGAGGCTGAGGCAGGAGAATGGCATGAACCCGGGAGGTGGAGCTTGCAGTGAGTCCAGATTGCGCCACTGCACTCCAGCCTGGGCGACAGAGCGAGACTCCATCTCAAAAAAAAAAAAAAAAAAAAAAAAAAAAGAATGGTACTCTATTATCATTTGGGTTTGCAGAAGGTTGTTTGGCTAGACTTGAGAATCTAACAAATACTCTTGAGAGGGGCTTTGGTATAAGGACATAGAGCCTGAATTCAAAGAAAACAGCTCTGGTTCTGTCACTTGCTAGCTTTGTGACTTTGTGAAATTATTTTCTCTATATATCTCAGGTTCTATCTTATTAAAGTAGAGATACCTTTGCTTACCATGAAGGGTTCCTGGACAATTGCAGAAGATATAAATGTGAACGCTTAACATAGTGATAGACTTAATAAACCGTGTTATTGCTATTATGTGAGGGCTTAAAGTAAAAGTTGCAGGCACAAGAAAACATCCCCAAAGCACTGAATCATGAATGTGAAAATAGGAAACTAGTCCGGAGATTACTAGAAATGACTGATTTCAGGCCAGTGACTTTCTACCATATTCGGCCTCATGACCTTTGGTTATTCAGGTTTGCAGGCTTCCATTTGACCTTGTAAGTTTCCAAAAGCAGAAGTAGTCTTGGCTTCTCTTTCTGGCAACTGGCATAACTTTCCTAAGAGACAATTTTATTTGAGGAAAGAAAAGAACTCTTATCTGAGAAATGCAAGTCCTTTTAATTATCAGGCCCAAAGAGAGATTAAAATGAGGCAGCAGTCACGTCCTCCTCCCTGCTTTGAGCTCTGTATTCCTCTCTTGGAACTGCTTGCTTTTGCCACCAGCAGCTGTAAATTAACTTAATAATGCCACACCCTACAGCTTAAGGATGTATAGCGAATCATTAATCAATGTTATTTCTGTAAAGCAGTAAGGATTCCTGACAAACCAGTTTGTATCAGCCCACTCCCTGTCCCCCATTTTTTGTCTTTATAAACCTACTTGTAACTGCTGCTAAATGGAATGTATATGGTGGCAACTTCAATCTTATGCTCCTGGGTTGCAATCTTAAGCTTGGCCCAAATAAACTCCATTGATACTAATTTTGCCTCAGCTTCCTCCTTCTAGGTCAACACATTTCTTGCTCTGAGCCACTCTCAAGGTGTTTTATTTTTTATTTCATTTTACTTTTTTTTGGAGACAGAGTCTCGCTGTATCCCCCAGGCTGGAGTTCAGTGGCACCATCTTGGCTCACTGCAACCTCTACCTCCAGGGTTCAAGCAATTCTCCTGCCTCAGCCTCCCAAGTAGCTGGGTTTACTGGCTCCTACCAATATGCCCAGCTAACTTTTGTATTTTTAGTAGAGGCGGGGTTTCGCCATGTTGGCCAGGCTGGTCTTCAACTCCTGATCTCAGGTGATCCACCCACCTTGGCCTCCCAAAGTGCTAGGATTACAGGTGTGAGCCACGGCGCCTGGCCATCTCAAGGTGTTTTAAAACTTAGGTTTCATTGCTATGCAGGTATAGTGAGGCCAAAAGATCAGGAGATGAAGGCACTTCAAAAGACAGCTTGTTACTCACAGTTGAGGGGGTGGTTACTCACAGTTATGGTTGGGGGAGTGGGGTAGAGGAACTCCATGCCACACAGGGCCACCTGGGGAAGCACCAGGTTGGTCGGGAGGCAGAGGGAGCAGGAAGAAAATGTGGGCTCTTGGGCTCTAGCCTGTATTGTGATTTCTGTGGGAAAGAATGAGTGAGGCAAGGTAAGCAGATTTAGCATTGGCTATTTGAATAATTTCGCTGGGCCCTGGGGTATAGAGGCTGTCCAGAGTTGTCTGGTTCCTGTCTCTCAGATGACTTGGGGCAGAGGAATATTGATTGGATGTCTGCGCGTGATAAAAGAAAGAGTTGAGGGCTCTGGGCTGTGGGTCGTCTGGTTTGCATATGAAAGGCGTGCTTCTGGGCCATGTTTGCTATTTCTAGGAGTGAGCTTTACCCTCTACAGTCAGTGAGGGCCAAATGCCAGAGCACCAAGAATATAGAAATAAGAAACTACAATTAATACACAAGGTACCAATGTAATATTGGGTTTTCATTGCATAACCCATTTATTCATTTATTTACTCTCACCGATTATTCTTTCTTTTCTCCAGTTATCAGTTAGTTTTATTTTTTTTATTATTTTTTTTTGAGACAGAGTCTCACTATGTCACGCAGGCTGGAGTGCAGTGGCTCCATCTCGGCTCACTGCAACCTCTACCTCCCGGGTTCAAGCAATTCTCCTGCCTCAGGCTCCCGAGTAGCTGGGACTACAGGCACCCGACACCATGCCTGGCTAATTTTTGTACTTTTAGTAGAGACGGGGTTTCACCGTGTTAGCCAGGATGGTCTCGATACCCTGACCTCGTGATCTGCCTTGCCTTGGCCTCCCAAACTGCTGGGATTACAGGCATGAGCCACCACGCCCAGCCAGTTAGTTTTAATTTTCTACCTTCGGAAGGGATGTTAGGTGAGGCCCCCGTGCTGGTTCAGATTGCCAGAAGCAACACTAGTGTAGCAAGTGCCTCTCCGTCCATTCCCATGCCCATGGGGCAGGGTTACATAGGTACAGAACCAGCGGGCTGTCTCGACCACTAGGCAGTACAGCAGAATTCCCTGTCAATTCCAGCCTTGTCAGACAGGGTGAAGGTAAAATCTGCTCTACCAGTTTCTTAGAAATTGTGACATCAAAGTTTAAAAGTATAGTTACAGATTCTTGTTTCAGGGGCATTCCTGTTTGTGGCACCTGCAGTTGCAGCCATTGTCCCAGAACACGGCATCAGGTAGGAAAAAGGAAAGGTGAAGTGATGTGGGGAATAATTTAAAAAGCACTGTTGAACTGGTATCTTCTCACTGTGGGAAACATTGTATAGCCATACCAGCCTCCTCACCTACCTCCCCTTCTCCAGGTCCCCCAGAAAGGAGACGAATCGCGCAAGGGGAGATGTGCCCTTGGTACCCCTCATGTTCAGTGTGACCACACACTCAGAGGCATACGAGTTAGCTCTTCATGCTTTTCTGTCTCCTGGTGTTAAGTAACCCATGTTTCAACTGCCCATCCCAATTCTCTATGAACTTATTACTCTGAGAATAATAGCTCTATAAAATGTGTTCCATAGGCTGAAGAAATGTGACTCAATGGCTCAAATCGGTGAATTTATTAAGTTATAATAAATAAAAGTGTATGGCTAACATGTTGAAAGAAATGTTAATGACTTCACTGAAAAAGACCCACATAAATGACGGCAACAGACTTAGATCTTGCCACATATTTTATTTAATGTTTTATCTGCCAGCACACACAGCTACAGATAAAACTTGGATGCAGTAAGATATAACGTCATGAAATCGTATGAAAAGGAAGACAGAAATTAGTCACATAAATGATACTCAACAATGGGTTGTATGATTAACTGGTTTAGAGTGGGTCTTAGGACTTTCAAAAAGAGTTGAAAAATAGGTAGAAAACTGAAGGAAAAAATGTAAATATATTTTGTGGGCAAAGCTATCGAGGTCGTAGGATTAAAGAAGATGGGGCTGGCCGGGGGCAGTGGCTCACGCCTGTAATCCCAGCTCTTTGGGAGGCCGAGGCGGGTGGATCACGAGGTCAGGAGATCGAGACCATCCTGGCTAACACGGTGAAACCCCGTCTCTACTAAAAATACAAAAATAAAATTAGCCGGGCATGGTGGCGGGCGCCTGTAGTCCCAGCTACTCCGGAGGCTGAGGCGGGAGAATGGTGTGAACCCAGGAGGCGGAGCTTGCAGTGAGCCGAGATCGCGCCACCGCACTCCAGCCAGCCTGGGCGACAAAGTGAGACTCCGTCTCAAAAAAAAGAAGAAGATGGGGCTGAACTGCCAAATACAATTATGTTGTGTTCCTTTTTCTAGGAAGTCTGTGGACAGTGATTTTTAAGTTAAACCAACAACACTGTGGTTAATAATAATTGTCAGCAAGATCTTTTCTGCAGCATCATTGTATCTGATCTCTTCTCAATAAAAAAATTGTTTCCTACATCAGTTTCTCTTTATTTCTCCCTATCCTTCAGAGTGAAAATTTCTTCTTCCTCTCTTTCCAAGACAAGTCCTGCCACCGGAGCAATGTCACACTTTCTCCTCTCAGAATAATTTGTGATTTTTCAAATATTTATGGAATACCTACTATGGAGGTCTGTCACGTGCTGGGCACTGTGATAGGCACCTATGGATGGGATTCTGTGCTGCAAAGTAATGTACAGGATGTAGAGGGGAGAAAATCATTTACGTAAATAGCTGTAACCCAGAACAGAAAGGGGCAGCTGACATAAAGACACACAGAATGTGCGGGTTATAAGTGCCTGTTTATGGGGGCAGTTGCAGGAACTGAGGTTTGATTATGGGCAAGATATGGACAAAGGCATGTTCTATGGCCATGCCATGAAAACAAAGGGGCAGAGGCGTGCATACAAATCTGGAGGCAGCTGCTCCAACTCCTAAATAGTGTAACCGAACAGCCCTGCCTGAAAAAGCACTTTAAAACTTCTTTCTCCTTTTTCCTTTCTTCCCAGTCTCAAGTTGAAACCTTGAAACAATCTCTAGAAATGTTTTTCCTTAGTCTTAAAATATAGCCTTGAAAGATACTTTGAAACCCTACTTCCTTCCGTTTCTCACCATGTTTTCCTTTACCCCAGGTGCATTTATCTAGCTGTATGCTTGTATACCCCACACACATTTATCTAGTTTATTTAAGCACGTAACGTATCTAATTATGTTCTTATTTAGAAGTTCCAGGGCCTAACGTTACGACAGACCAAGCGGCAGGGCGCCGTAGCTCATGCCTGTAATCCCAGCACTTTGGGAGGCCGAGGTGGGTGGATCACGAGGTCAGGAGATCGAGATCATCCTGGCTAACACGGTGAAACCCCGTTTCTACTAAAAATACAAAAAATTAGCCGGGCGTGGTGGCGGGCGCCTGTAGTCCCAGCTACTGGGGAGGCTGAGGCAGGAGAATGGCGTGAACCCGGGAGGCGGAGCTTGCAGTGAGCCGAGATCGCGCCACTGCACTCCAGCCTGGGCGACAGAGCGAGACTCCATCTCAGAAAAAAAAAAAAAAAAAAAGACAGACCAAGCATGGAGACTCCGCTGCAAAGTCCCAGTGATGACCTCAAGGTGGCTGTCAACAACTCGTCAATTGTTGAGATGACAGCAACCTGCCCTTCAAGTGGACCACAGCTTGAAATAGGCACCAGAACAAGACAGCAGACCTTGTGCAATGCACTCTCCCACGGGCCTCCCATTCCAATTTCCCCTTTTTAAGCCTTTCTCCCCAGCCTAAAGTTTTAAGAGGTTTCTGGAGGCGTAAGGTAAGCAGCCTGCTTCCCTGCTGCTAGCTTTGGAAACAAAGTAACTTTCCTTTCACTACAGACTTCCTCCTTGTTACTGACTTTGCAAGCGGTGGGCAGCTGAGTCTGCACTGGGTTACATCGGGGCGGGGGGGGGTGGGGGGGTGGTGTGTGTGTGTGTGTGTCTCGTGTGTGTGTGTGTGTGTGTGTGTGTCTGAAACCAGTGTTTCTCAGCTTGATCATCAGGGTTGCTAAAAAATATTTGGTAGGAATGAAGTAGACTTTTAAAAGATGAAAGCATATATTAACTTAGATGCATCTTGTTTACCTCGATATCTTAACACCTCTCATGGTGCCCAGCATACAATAGGTTCTCAGCAAATGTATACAGAGAGTACATGGATGGATGGATGGGTGGATGGATGAATACAGAATTGAATAACTTAATATTCTTTTCACTAGATACATTTTTTAACAAAATACTTTCTCCTTTTACATAGGATTCTATTTATGTTTAATGAACAAAAAAATTAGTTTCAATGAAAACTTTATTTGAAATGATGAATTCAAGCTGTTACCAGCCTCCCAAGTAAGATGCCAGAGACTTCAAACACTGCTGTTGTTTCTCAAGGAAAAGATCCAGTTAACAAGGAATCATTCTCTCTTCTTCAATAGCTGCTTACGGTAAATAAAATCTCTTCCTCCTTTTAATATTTTACATAAGAGAACATTTTAAAATTGTATTAAAAAAAAAAAACATGAGAAAGAATGATAGCCTTAAGTGAGTTAAGTGAGTTTTCTCACTGCGCTTATAGCCCTTCCCAATTTTGTGTTCTGTATATTTAGGATGGCTGGTGGGTGGGAAGGCCAGGAGCCAGAGGTGTACCACAGCTGCTGTGCCTGCCAAAGAACAAGCAGGTGTTCTGGTTTTTTGTTCGTATTCTTTAAGGTCAGTGAACTGGCTGGTTTCCATTTCTCATCTTAGCCTACGTCGTTCTTAAAGGTTCTGTCTCACAAGGAAATTGTTCAAGAGCTTAACCAAGCAAGTGTGGCTATCCCAAGTGAAATGGAGAAATAGACCAGCATCCCTCATGAGCCAGGCTCAGTCCTCACTTTTACCATCAAATATTGACATTATGAATGTTATTGTTTCTCTATAAAGCATCTGCACAAATTCCATGTTTTAATATATTAGTTCGGTGTTTCTCATTATTTGGAAATCAGGCCTTTTTTGATAAGCATGTCAGAAAATAGCAGAATCAGAAACAATATCAGATATATCAAGAGCAGGAGAGTGACAATGGGCAGAGCTTCTTTCCAGGCTTTGGGAGTAGTTGACAATAGGCTAGCTGAAAGATTAAAAAAGAAAGTTAATGATGGGTCACCTTAAGGGAGCTGGTAAACTAGTTGTGAGGTAAAATAAAGAGGTCTGGGACCAGAGAAATAGCAGAAAGAATGGGACTGATCTAGGATAGAAGTAAAATCTAAATTAAAAGAAAAAAACAAATTACGGCTCTGATTCCTTCTCTGGGGAGACTTCAATGTGTGCTTGTCAAAGTGAGGTTTTTTTTTTTTTTCTGTTATAGATAGTTAAAAGTGCAGGGGAAAAGAGGTATCTTTTCCTCAGCCATTGCTAGGTTCATGGCTGAGGCCCCTATAACAAAAGACAAATTGACAAGAGAAAAGCATAAAACCTACTAATAAGTTTTACATGACATGACTTCATGAAAAATAAAGAACTAAAGAAGTAGAAAACCTGTGTATTGACCTGGCGCGGTGGCTCATGCTTGTAATCCCAGCACTTTGGGAGGCCGAGGTGGGCAGATCACAAGGTCAGGAGATCCAGACCATCCTGGCTAACACGGTGAAACCCTGTCTCTACTAAAAATACAAAAAATTAGCCGGGCGTGGTGGCGGGCGCCTGTAGTCCCAGCTACTCGGGAGGCTGAGGCAGGAGAATGGCATGAACCCGGGAGGCGGAGCTTGCAGTGAGCCGAGATCGCGCCACTGCTCTCCAGCCTGGGTGACTGAGCAAGACTCCATCCCAAAAACAAACAAACAAACAAACAAAAAAAAACGTGTATTTCTTATGCTACATTTGATGTACAGTCATGAAGAAATATAACTGGACAAGGTGGGTAGACCTCATGGTAACACACTGAAGGAAACTTAGCAAGGCTTTTGTGCAGGTTCTTCTCTGTGTCCCTGTGTCTTCGGAGATAAGGATGCTCCTTTCCTCTGGGTATAGGGAGAACCTCTCAAATAAGAGTCCTATGACCTGCTTCAGGAGAAGGTCAGAAAATCCATCCTAGGTTTTAGGACATGCTTTTAGGAAGGAGGATCAGGGACAGTCATAGAGTGATATTTCTTCTTCAGTTTCCTCAAATGTCAAGGTACCATATTTTATGGTAACATAACTGAACCCAATTAAAAGAAATTAGCATGTTACTTTTTGAGGGGGAAGGCTCTGACTGAGCTAACATGTTATGGGTTTTGTAGGGGTGAAAAAGCAATACCTTTTCCTCACCCATCACAAGGGTCATGGCTGACACCTTGATAACAAAAGACAGATTAACAAGAGAAAAGCATAAAAATTTATTTAACTGAAGTTTTGCATGGCACAGGAGGTTTCAGAAATGAAGATCTAGAGAAAAGCGTGTACTTGTATGCTTAGGTTTGATATAGAATAAACAGTCATGTAGAACTATGATTGGATGAAAGGGTGTGACATAATGGTAATAAACTGGGGGGAACTTAGAAAGGTCTCTTGTTCAGATTCTCCTTGGCCTTTCTGAGTAGCATTCCTTCCCCCTGGGAATGGGGCAGGGCTCCTATGGAGTGAGGGTCTTACAACTTAATTTCAGGTGAGGAAGGTCAGAGAAATCGTTTATAACTATGTTTTACACAGAAAGGTGGGAGGAGGTCAGAGTGACTTTCTTGTTCTGCAGTTTCCTCGAATGCCAAGGCACCATATTTGGAGGTATCGTGTTCTGGTCCCCAGCAAGTTATATGGGGTACTGTGCATTTGTTGCCCCTACATAGTTTTCAATATATGCTAATTCATGGGTGCGGCAGAGCATAGACCGTACATGCTCTGTTTCTGGGAACCTGTTGCTCAATCTCTAAAGTTGGCTCATTCATCTTGCATGTAAAATGAGAATATAAATCTCATTTAAAAAAAAAGTCTCGAGCTAAGAGATGATTCACGCATAAGATTCAGCACACTGTCTGGTACAGAGTAAGTGCTTTCCAAAATGAACATTATGTTAGATATAATTTCCAAAACACACACTCTTGTGTATTAAGTCATTGGCAAACATACCCAAGCTTCTTGGCTCACTGATATGATGGACTCTGCGATTCACATCCTGAGAAGGGTGTGGGCATCACATGCACAATGCGGCTCATCACAGAGGATTTTTCCAGAACATAAATGCTACACATCCCTCCCTATGAGAAGATTCACATTTCTTTCTTTTGAATGAGAGGAGAAATTCTACACAATAGAAATAGTAATTTGAATGAGAGAATATACCTTTGAATTCACAATTCAGGCAGACTGTATTCTTTGTCTTCTTGAAGACAAGAATAGTTCTTAATTTTTTTTTCTCAATTTTGAAGAGCATGAAGTTTAGGAAAAAAATATGTGTAAGTGGTTGTTGACAAGTGTTCTAACCCTCTTAAGATATTATTCATTGCCAAAATGGAAAGCGTTTAAGTGAATATCCTTCCCAAGGATTCTGAAATGCCCCCTGAGAAGAGGGCAACAATTGTTTTGGGGCTCTTTCTGTAAAGGGGAGTATGTGACAACAAGGAGGCTGGTCCTGTGTGCTTCCTATGGTGGCATGAGCATATGCATTCTCTAAAATATAATCATAGGTGTATATACACGTATATATGCATGTGTGTATTGTGTGTGTGTATTTCTCTACATATTCTTTTAAATATTGTTCTCAACTATATATAATATTCTATAATCCATTGTGGACCTCTACAAATAATCAGTTAAAGTGTTGCTTAATAGCTACATGATCACAAAGGTCAGAAACCCAGTCAGGACCAAATCATGTAGAGTCTTAGAGGCCACCACTAGGAATTTGTATGTCATTCAAAGTGGCCGGGGAGCATTTCAAGAGCTTTGAAGCATGGGAGTGATATGATCTGATTTACATTTTCAAAAGATCACTCTCGATGTTTGTAGGCGGAGTTGGGGGATATAAACTCCTCAGGGGGCCACTACATCCCACTACAGACGATGCTGGCTCAGAGCCCAGAGTCTGGTTTAGAGCTGGTGAGACATGGATTGTATTCAGAAGGTAGAACAGCTGTGAGGACCAGGAGAGAGGAAAGAGAAACAATGATAAGTTTCTGGCTTGAGGATTTGAGTAGATGGCCATTTCATTAACTGAGATAGAAAAGACAGGAGGATGAGCAGTCGGGGTTGGATCTGACTGGCTTTGCATTTCTGTGGGGCTGTTGGGGAGGGAACAACAGTGTCACCAGTGCTCTCTACCCACCTGTCACTCAAGGTGGGTGAGACGTCTTCTTGAACTTAATTTAGGCTCCTGCCTTTGTGCTTCTTGGGGTTAAATGTGTAGAAGCCCTTCGAACGTATTAAAAGGACGGTGCAAAGATTAGACAGGGCCTCTTTGGAGGCCCTGCCTGACTTGCATTAGCTTTGATTAGGCTGTGTTCATTGCCAAAGCTTGTGGCCACATGCTTATTATTCTGCATTTACTGAGGAAATAAGAACATGACAAGACGTTCTGAAGTCTCCGATGACTCCAGTTAAGGTTCTTTGAAATGCACGTGCTCTACTTTCTCTCCCGCTACCTGATGACTTTTTTCACAGTAGGCTGGAGAATAAGTTGGAAGAAGGCTTGGTCCCCTTGGCTTGGTGAGATCATGGTAAGCAGCAACTCTGACTGTTTGATGCTACACTGTGAAGAGCAGAACCTGAATTTTCAAAATGGAAAAGTTGCAGCAATTAAAAATTGTGCTGACAAGTTTTGTTTTTACAACAGTTGTCAGGGCTAGTGTTGATAAGGAAAACAATGACAGGATGAGTTGTGAATCTGCGCAGTGCTTTACTAGTGTTCAGGTGAGAGAGCTCCGTGGTCAAGGGAACTTTTAAGTTACAATATTTTCTTTATGGTTTCTAGCTTTCAGTATTATATCTACAAAGTCCACATGTAAGCCACAAGGATTTTTTTTTTTACTTTTACCTAGCTCTTTTATGTTTTAATTTTCACATTAATTCTTATGTGCTTCCAGGATTGGTTTTGAGGTGAGTTGTGACACAGGAGTCCAAACATAATGTTTTTTCTAAGTGGCCAGCAAATTATTTCAACACACAGTGTCTCCCTACGTTGTAAGTAGGTCCTGTGGGGCAGGAGCAATCTGTCATTTTCTTAGGGCCTAGCACAGCATGAAGTCTCAGATATTTGTTCGGTGAATGCCTGAATGAATCCGTGGAAGAGCTTCTTCCTCCTAGCACCTCATGGCTGCGTATGAACACTTATGACTTATAAATGCAAAGGTATACAGTAGCCTGGCAATTGACTCCCAGTTTAAAAAATAAGGCCAGAGGCAGTGGCTCATGCCTGTAATCCCAGCACTTTGGGAGGCCGAGGCAGGTAGATTGCCTGAGCTCAGGAGTTCGAGACCAGCCTAGGCAACATGGTGAAACCCTGTCTGTACTAAAAATACTAAATAAAAAAAATTAGCTGGGCATAGTGGCGGGTACTTGTAATCCCAGCTATCGGTTTCACTCGTGTCCACGTGAGGAGACCACCAAACAAGCTTTGTGTGAGCAACAAGGCTGTTTATTTCACCTGGGTGCAGGCGGGCTGAGTCCAAAAAGAGAGTCAGCGAAGGGAGATAGGAGTGGGGCCATTTTATAGGATTTAGGTAGGTAAAGGAAAATTACAGTCAAGAGGGGGTTGCTCTCTGGCGGGCAGAGGCAGGGGTCACAAGGTGCTCAGTGCGGGAGCTTTTGAGCCAGGATGAGCCAGGAGAAGGAATTTCACAAGGTAATGTCATCAGTTAAGGCAGGAACAGGCCATTTTCACTTCTTTTGTGATTCTTCAGTTACTTCAGGCCATCTGGATGTATATGTGCAGGTCACAGGGGATATGATGGCTTAGCTTGCGCTCAGAGGCCTGACACTCAGGAGGTTGAGACAGGAGAATCACTTGAACCCAGGAAGCAGAGGTTGCAGAGTGTCGAGATCGTGCCCTTGCACTCCAGCCTGGGCGACAGAGCAAGACTCCATCTCAAAAAAGAACAATATAATAAAAAATAAATCCCAGAATTATGTAAAGTGCTGATTTAAAAGGGTATTGTTTTACCATAGTCTCTAGGGCTCCTAGGATTTTTAAAGTGAAAATATAATCTAGAGTGACACAAAATTATTCTAAACTAAGTGAGAGACAGCATGGTGTTGTGAAAATATTTAAAATCATCAAACTGCATGTCTGTCATTTACTTGCTATGTGATCTTGATTTATTCATTATAATCAGTTTTCTTGTCTCTGCAGTGAGAGTAACAGCACCCACTTTTCAGAGTAGCTCTGAGTTTCAGTGAGTTAACATCTGTAATTTACCTGAACGGTGCCTAGCAGGGAACAGACACTAAATTAATGTTTTTTCTTCTTCAACTCCTCCCTAAAGCCACATTCTAAAAATATATCCTTTCTTTCACGACTTGACAGCTTGAAACTCAAAAAAAAAAAAAAAAAAAAAAAGATTGTATATCTTGTGTGAGTACTGATATGTGGGCAATTTTCCATCATCAGAGTGTGGAGTACTTTTTAAGACTGTCTTTTAATGAATCAGATACACTGATTACAAAAGGACTGGTTGATTGCAATCCAGTTATTTTCCATGAGTAACTTCAATAATACAACAAACACGTACACTTTTTTTTATTTTTTTGAGACAGAGTCTTGCTCTGTCACCCAGGCTGGAGTGCAGTGGCGTGATCTTGGCTCACTGTAAGCTAAGCTCCAATTCCCAAGTTCATGCCATTCTCCTGCCTCAGCCTCCCAAGCAGCTGGGAATACAGGCGGCCACCACCACGCCCGGCTAATTTTTTGTATTTTTAGTACAGATGGGGTTTCACCATGTTAGCCAGGATGGTCTCAATCTCCTAACCTCATGATCCGCCCGCCTTGGCCTCCCAGAGTGCTGGGATTACAGGCGTGAGCCACCGCACCCAACCACAAGTACACTATTAACGAGCTAATGATGAGCTCTGCGTCAGGGCCAGGACTGAGGTGAGCAACTGCCTCATTTGCCTCGTGTGCAAAACTGAGAAGTCACCAAAAAATTCAGTCATTAAGATAAATAGTTAACATAATATTAAAATATCAAAATGAATGCAAAAAATTCATTATGAGCAAAATACCAACATTTCAAATGAAGACAAGCTCTGACAAGGCCAGGCTAGTGAGGAACTGATGCTCTCAGGTACCATGCTAAGCACTGCAGTGTATGCTAGATTAAAGCAGATGACATTGCTTTTTTTATTTAAATATTTTTATTTAAAAATGGTCACATATCTGCAATTTTATATTTTTCAACCTAAATATTTCCTTATTTAAACATATTTAATCTCTGCAGAAACCCTTCGTCTCAGGGATCATTTCATCATAAGACAGTAACTCCTTTAAACTAACTTCTAGTAAAAAATGAAGTAAACTTATAAAAATATAGGAGACAGCTGACTATCAGCCTCTTAAGTGTTTGGAACAGAGGACTGAGGCCCAGGAGCTGAGGTTTCTCATCTCAGCATCTCTCCAAGTGGCCACCCCTTTTTCTTAGTGTCTCTGCAAAGAGGCTTTTCTGATTACTCCTTTGTATGAGTCTCCATCATGATGGCTCCTAAAGGGCAGCCTTGGTTCCAGGAGTCTTTTTCCAGGGCCTACTTCAGCATCTCCCATTGAATAACCCATTTGTGGTGTCTCAGGTCAATTCCTGGAAAGGCAATGTGAGAGGCCAAGGCTACAAGGTGCCTCAATTCCTCCTGGTCAGGGTCCACTTTGGTTCTTCGGTACAGGAATGGGGGCTTCATGTTTAAAAAAAGAAAACCAGGACACAGGCCTGAATTGTCTAACGTCAATCAATAGGAAATCGGGAAGAAATGAGCTTGGTCAGACAGCCGGGTAGGTAGGGACTGGAACTCATTCTCATCTTATATTTAAGGAAAGAGAAAAGCAGAGTTCAGTAGCTTGCTGAAGTCACGGAGAAAAAATGGATTTGGGATGTGATGGGAGTCTAGTTTCTGTGTGACCTTCAGTGAGTTAATTAATAGTCTGACATCTTTGTAAACCAAAAATAAAATTCTTAGCCTCCAACCGACTAAAATGGACCCCTCTGTTAGCCAAGGGGGCCCAAAGAAACCTAAAAAGCTAGGTCAGGCCAGGACAGGAGGAGTTCAGGCACAAGCCACCAACATTAACACTGAAACAGAGATCATAACACTGACAAAACACAACCTTTGTAACAAGATACCACATTTCAACCCAACTCTAGTATAATATTACATGACAGATAAAGAAGGAAATCAAAATATTTTATCCCAAAATATGTCTCTTTGCCATATTTTGAAATGGCCCTGCAGAGCCATCTTTTGTGGGGCAAGATTTGCATCTATAAAGAATCTCCAGCTGGGCACAGTGGCTCAGGCCTGTAATCCCAACACTGTGGGAGGCTGAGGTGGGTGGATCACTTGAGGCTGGGAGTTCGAGGCCAGCCTGGCCAACATGGTGAAACCCTGTCTCTACTAAAAATACAGAAATTAGCCTGGCATGGTGGTGCCCCAGCTACTTGGGAGGTTGATGTGGGAGAATTGCTTGAACCCAGGAGGCAGAGGTTGCAGTGAGTCGAGATCACGCCACCGCACTCCACCCTGGACAACAGAGTGAGACCCCGTCTCGGAAAAAAAAAAAAGAACATCTATTAACATAGCTAGATCTTTCCCCTCCCAGGCCTTCCCAATCCTGAAGAGATTAACTGAGGGTCTAGCACCTTTTAAAGATCTGAATAGGAAATATTTACCATCTATTTTTCTCTAAGGGTGGCCACCTATTAGACCTCATCTACATAAGAAGAACCTTAGTCTCCACAACCTCTTATCTTAATCCAGACACTCCTTTCTATTGATTCTAAACCTTTGGATGGTAACTTAACCCTTTCAACCAATTGCCAATCAGAAAAACCTTTGAATCCACCTATGACCTGTAAGCCCCAACCACCTCCCACCCCCACCGCCACTTTGAGTTGTCCCGCCTTTCTGGACCGAACCAATGTATAACTTACATGTATTGATTGATGTCTTATGTCTTCCTAAATAATAAAACCAAGCTGTAGCCCGACTCCCTTGGGCACATGTTCTCAGGAGCTCTTGAGACTGTGCCTTGAGCCATGGTCACTCATATTTGGCCCAGAATTGCTGAGACCGGCTCGGTCAGGGAGACCCTAACCCAGCTGAGCTAGAGGAATTAAAGACACACACACAGAAATATAGAGGTGGGAAATCAGGGGTCTCACAGCCTTCAGAGCTGAGAGCCCCGAACAGAGATTTACCCACGTATTTATTAACAGCAAGCCAGTCATTAGCATTGTTTCTACAGATATTAAATTAACTAAAAGAATCCCTTATGGGAAAGGAAGGGATGGGCCGAATTAAAGGAAGAGGTTGGGCTAGTTAACTGCAGCAGGAGCATGTCCTTAAGGCACAGATCGCTCATGCTATTGTTTGTGGCTTAAGAATGCCTTTAAGTGGTTTTCTGCCCTGGGCGGGGCAAGTGTTCCTTGCCCTCATTCCCATAAACCCACAACCTTCCAGCATGGGCATTATGGCCATCATGAACATGTCACGGTGCTGCAGAGATCCTGTTTATGGCCAGTTTTGGGGCCAGTTTATGACCAGATTTTGGGGGGCTTGTTCCCAACACAAAATAAACTTCTTTAAATATTCTACAGAGTTTGGCTTTTTTCACCAACACCTCCATTTTCCTATAAAATGTGATAAAAATACTTCTTGAACCCCATGTATATGGAGAATAGATTTTTCAACAAAAGCACCAAAGCAGTCCAGTGGAGAAAGGAGAGCCGTGTGACAAATGGTACTGGGACTTTTAGATATACAAAAAAAAATGAACTTTGGTCCTTACCTTGCATTATATGTAAACATGAACTCAGAATGGTTCATAGACCTAAATGTAAAAGTTAAAACTATAAAACTTCTAGAATGAAACAGAAGCAAGTCTCTGTGACCTCGGGTTAGTCAAATATTTCTTGGCTAAGGCAACGAAAGCACAATCTGTAAAATAACAAATTAATAAATTGGATTTCAAAAGACACCGAAACAAAAATGAAAAGCCTTGCTACTGACTTGGAGAAAACATTTGCAAATCCCATACCCAGATGTATTTTCTGTGCCCAGTTAGTGATTTTATAAAGGGATACCAAGGCAGCATGGCCCAGTGGCTGAGACAATTCTGAAGCCAGACACCTGGGATTTGATCCCTGCCCTGCCACTTACCACTTATTAAGCACGTGACTTGAAGAAAGTCTCCTAATCTCTATGGCTTTCCTTTTCCCATTTAAAAATGGATAAAATAGTAATATCTAAACCTCTTCATTGGTTTCTATAAAGGTGAATTAATATTCTAAAGTGCATAGATCAATGTCTAGCACATAGTAGCCAAGACAGGTTTGTTAAATACATAAAACCAAGCAGGAGGAAGCCTGTCCCTACCATCCTCCTAGTGCTGGTACATTTTTCTCACCTTTCTTAATCTTGGGGGAGAATTGATTTTCTCATTCTGTCTTATTTAACATTTGAGCTCAATGTCTAACCTATAACTTTATATATGATTTATTTCCGTATACTTCTCATTTTATTTTTAAAAAACCCTATGATTTGATTTCAAAAGAAGTAAAAACAAATTAAATCTTGTTAACCTAAAACTTGCTTCTGCAACATCCCCACTGGGAATGATAATATAAATGCTTGTGCCTTGAGATGAGAATGTCATTGTTTGTTCCTTACTGTTGTATAGCCTGAAGATTAAATAAGTAAAATAAAAGTGGAATTAAGAAATATATCTTGTCTACTAGTCAAAGCAGTTCAGAAACTGTATTTCACTGTTACATCTAGATAGTTGAATTGTGTGCCTTTAAGCTATGAAATTTGGTTAAATTAACTTTAATGAAAAAAATCGGAATGCAATTCCATTTTTATGTTCTTCTTTAAATATGGTAAAACGTATTAATACAGCATTGAGATAACTTTGACCTATTAGAATGCAAATGACTCTAGATTGATCTAATGCCTCACATTTAGGGCTGGTTTTAAAGGTCTCTATGATTCCCATTTACAAATGAAACTTATTAATATGAGTTATAGATTCTTTTCCATTGTGTGCCAAGCAAGGAGAGAATCAAGCTTATTTGAATCATGCAGGCACATAGACTTTGGAATGATTAGGAGACCATGGCAAAAATTGTGAGTAATACATGTAGAGAAGTTTAAACTTTTCCTCTGGAGGTGTGATAACTGAGTTATCCTGCCAAAATACATTGACAATAGATAGATTAACAGGAGAAAAACACACACAGATTTGCTAATATGTACATGAAAATGCGAGCCCTATAAATATGAGACTCAAAGAAGGGCCATACAGCTGAGGCTTAAATAGCATTCTTTTTGTAGGGAAGAGGGGAGATTAGTGTGCAGGTAATTTTGAGGAATAGTAAAATGCTTTTCAGGAGAACTGAATGGGCCTGGGAGACAGAAATTAGTTTATAAATTATTCTCTTTGGAATTTGAACAGGACAAGTTATGGGAAGGTGAGGGGTGGAATTGCACTGAACAAAGGCTGTCACTATGCAGATAAAGTCTCTTAGGCAACCTCTTGCAGCTGCCCTCAGAAGAACAGATGAAAAACCTGACTGGGCATGGTGATGATTTTAGTCTTCTCTAGAAGGTATCAAAATCTTCTTATTTTGCCCCTTGCCAAGTACTTGTGAAGGGGTAGGCACTGGTTATGGCATGTGGAGTGTTATGGTATGGTGAGGAGCTGGATAGCAAGGGGGCTGAACATGTACTGATTTGATTAGCTTCATCTCTAAAGAGTCGTGTCTCAGATGGAGCAGCTTGCACTCAAGGTACTATGAAAATGAAGAGGTTATAAAAGTATTCTAAGGGTCTCTAAGCCTTGTCAGTCTCTGTTTTCTTTATGACAACCTATGGGTTGTTAAGTAGTTGGGATGGGGTCAGTATATGGGCAGAGGGAGGTGCCCTGGTGGAAGTACTAGATAGAGGATTTGGTATTGCATCTAGGATGCTAGAGTTCTTAGAGGTTAAAGGATTTTAATTTACCTAATAAAACCTCAAAGTTTAATTTACTCAACATTTAACCAACAGATGTCTTCTATGCTGAACTAAGAAGCCTAAACTTTTCTCTGAAAGCAGTAAGAAGCCTTGTAGGGATTTTAAAGTAAAGGTGACAGGGTTAGATTTAAATTTTAAAAGATTGCTATGAAGGAAATGTGAGAGGGAATCAAAAAAATAGAAGCAGGGAGATCATTAAATTTTGTTACAATAGCGAAGGTGAGAAGTCATGATGATATGAATTCAAGAATTAAAGAGTTTTTAAGAAAATGGGTTCACAGAACTTAATTGTGGCAGGAGGGCATAGGTGGGGGGGTGGTAAGAAGGAAGTGTCAGGAGGGAATGATGCTGCTAGGCATTGGGAGGGGGAGCTCAGGGGCAGGAAGAGGATTTGGAAGAATGATGGATAGAATTGACAGGCTGAATCTTAGGTGTCTGAGAAAAATCCAAGTGGAAACAATTCAGAAGATGCATGAATATTCAAGTATGGGCGTGGAAGAAAAGTCTGGACTAGAAATATATATTTAAAAGTAAATAGGGCGGCCAGTTGCGGTGGCTCATTCCTTTATTTCCAGCACTTTGGGAGGCTGAGGCGGGCGGATCACGAGGTCAGGAGATCGAGACCATCCTGGCCAGTACGCTGAAACCCTGTCTCTATTAAAAATACAAAAATTAGCTGGGCATGGTGGCATGCACCTGTAATCCCAGCTACTTGCGAGGCTGAGGCAGGAGAATCGCTGGAATCTGGGAGTTGGAGGTTGCAGTGAGTCAAGATCGCCACTGCACTCCAGCCTGGCAACAAAGCAAGACTCCGTCTCAAAAAAAAAAAAAAAAAGTACAGGGTATGAGTGATAGTTAAAGTCACGCCTGTGAATTGGTGGAAAGATGTGAAACAGCCAACTCAGGGTCCGAAACGAAATAAGACAGACTCATGTTTCCTGACTTTACTATAACATTGCCTATTGCATCTTCAAGCACGAAGGGGAAAATATATATTTTTTATGGAGATACTTTGATCTTTCAAATTCTGGACCTGGGATGTGAAATGGCCATGGCCTTAGTTATTTTAACTGGCTAACTCATAGAATCCCTTTTCTGTGTTCCACAAATGTGCCACATTTTGTGCTATTCATATTCCTGTATCTAGTATATCCTCTTTCATTAATCTATTTTAGTGCAGTAATAGTTATATTTTCAGATCTAAGAACTAATTGCTTGACTTTGTTAATGGATAAAACAAACTGTAATATATTTTAAAGAGGTTTATTCTGAACCAATATGAGTGACTGAGGCCTGGAGAAAACACGCAACCAAGAAGGCTTGAGTAAGTGGTTCCGAGGTGGCCGGGTTGGTTTGGTTTTATACATTTCAGGGAGGCAGGAGTTACGGGCAAAGACATCAACACATGGAAGGTATACACTGGTTCGGTTCAGAAAGGGGGATTATCTTCAGGAGAGGTCTTATAGGTTGTAGGTGGACTTGGGGATTCTCTGGTTTGTGATTGGTTAAAGGAGTAAGGCCCTGTCTACAGCTTAGAGTTGACAGAAAGGAAGGTAAGAATGCTCTGTCAGAGTCAGCCACAATAAAATGCCCTGGTTAGCAAGCCTGATGGCCTGCAGGCCTGACTTACACCTGCCTTGCATGGCCTTAGGGCTTGTTCATAATTTGTTATCTTATGGCCACACGGGGTCTGTTCTGTCAGTCTTAGGATCTCTATTTTAACACCGCTGCTGGTTACTTGTTGAGTCCAAACTCCAAAACAGAGGAGGTATGATGAGGTGTGTCTGACCTCCCTTTCTTTCAGGGCCAGAAACAGCTTTTCAGTTTTCTCTGGGGTCCTCTTGGCCAAGAAGTTTCTGTTCAGTTGGTTGGGGGGCTTAGAATTTTATACTTAGTTTACAACCTAGCTTTGGTCTATATTATATGCTCAGGAAAGTTTCTGAAATAGCCCTGGACTGGTTGGGTGATCTGGGATATGGAAAATGGGCCTGTGTCCTGAATGATGCACTTGAAAATGGAATATAAGACTCTGTAAAACTCAAAGCATCTGTGAACACAAAATTCAATTGAGTTGATTTGCCGCAGGCTTTCTCCACTGCTAACAGTTACAATTCAATCTCAGTTATACATGGTGTCCAAAAGAAGCACATTGTGGTGACCAGCAGAAACCAAGTTTTGCTTGAAGAATAAAGGTTGCAATTTTGCAAAGGTCATGTGTTATATAAATTTTCAGTAAGATGAGATAGTTTTAAATATTTATGGCATGGACCTAAAATACACTTGCACTCTTTAGGATGAAGGAATCTATTAATTTGTTGGTAAGTGAGAAATTTAAATGGCCACTAATTTCTTGCACGAACAGCTCTGCACGTTTTTCTCCACGTGTTTGTAGCGTGTACCCTTATCGGTCAAGCAACACTGAGGGGTATTCTGTGAGCACATCTTTAGAATGATACATTAAAATTCTAGTAAATCTTAAGGCCTAGATGATATAAACTCTGAAGTCATCTTGCTCAACAGAAATTATCAATAAACCGTTTTATAGTTCACTAAAAATAAAGAAGAGTTAATAATCTTGACATTTTTATTCCTGCAAGTTGAAAAAGTTCGTGTGTTTTTTCTCAATCTACTAAAGATCTAAATTATTTTGATATAGTTTCAGACTTACTTTGTAACTGAAAGTGATTTTTCTCATTTTTGTTGATAGAAATAAAAACATCAGTAGGAGGGGAAGGAGGAAGGAAGGAGAAGAAAGAGGAAGAATAGGAGGAGAAGAGGAAGAGAGGAAGAAGTCGTGAACAGCCCTCCTGCATTTTGCATCAGGTAGAAAAGTCAGTTGAATGTTGGGAAGAACACAAATAGTAAGTACATAGATTTTCATGTAATAAAAATACCCATTGTTATCAATGCAGGAATGTGCATTTTTTGAGTCACCATAAGATGACAGAGAGCCCCTGGGGCCACCCTTTGGTGTCTCCCAGCTTCCGATGGCAGTCAAGCTTGTAGCAGAGGGACCTGCGTCCCATGTGCCCCTCATCTCCACACTGCCCTAGGCTTGGCTAAGGGAACGGTTGTTCTTCATGTTCCCAAGGGCAACTGTGCAAATGTTCCACGTGCCCTTCAGCATGGGGTGATTCTCCTATGCACAGAAGCAAACACAATGGTTTAAAACAGGGATAACTCAGTAGATTACCCCTGATCCGTCCAACTGTGCTTTATCGTTATCTTGTTACAGTTTCTGGGTGGAGCCTATTTTTCCAGCTTTTGGCTGCTCTGAGCCGAAGGATGGTAGTAGGGCAGGAGAAGGGGAATTGAATTAATATTTATCGAGGGCCTGACACGAGCCCAGCACTGTGAAGACACCCTCTACACCTGTTATCTTACTAAATCCTCAGTTCAATCCTTTGGGACAAGTGTCACGCTGTTTGCAAATGAGGAAACTAAAACTCATTAAAAATAAGCGACATGCGCAGATCGTGTAGATAATATAGAGTAAGGGTTTAAACTCTGGACTCTTTGGGACCAGTACCCATCCTCTTAACTGTTCCACACTTTCTTCCATGTAATGTAGAAATATTTGATTTATTAATAATGTATTCCTTTACAACTTCTGAATGGGATCTGAGATAAATATATTCATATGCCCTATATATGATAGTTAAGTATAAGGTGAAAATAGGGAACCATTTAGACAAAAGAGAAGATGATTACGTATGAGGCTAACATAGTAAGATCATGAAAATTAAGTTAGTTTCTCATCTCCAGTTAGACAAGAGGAAGGGAGGTGTGGCAGGTCCCTGGCTTTCCCCATTTCTCAGGGCAGACCTTGGGTTGTGATCTGATCTCACGTGGTTCTCCAAGACCTTCAGGGAAGACTTTGTTCTGTTTTGTTAAGTTTGAGGTTATTTCTTAATTTGTTTGTCATTTTGCTGATTAAGAAGCATAACAGAAATTTATTCTACAGAAAAGGAAACTGATTAAGAAAACGCAGTGCTTTTATCAGGGGCTTTCCAGGATAGATGAATAGATACTGTATATTTATTATTTCAACTCGTGAAAAAAATTCAGGGACATGTTATTAAATTGTAGTTTCTTGAAAATCTTTTAACAGTAAATAAATCTAATGCAGACCAAGTACTTTGCCATTCAGTGGTCTAACAATAAAAAGAGACAACCTAAAGAATATCTGGCTTGTGTGTTCCTTAGGTCAACATGTGTAAATAACTAGCAGGTTGGAGGCATTATGTTTCACTTCCACGCAACCTGTTGCATTTTGCAGGGGTCAATGATTTAGGCACCAATGCCCCTGTGTTTTTTAAAGGGACAAAATACAACCACAATTTCCCTGAACTATGGATTTTAGACTCTAGTTACATATGGGCTAATTTAAATATTCCAAGTAAAGCATATAAGAAAATATAGTCAAAATAGCATGATAATAATTTGACAAGTAAACATTATCGCACTTTCTAAAGCATCCATCTGTATGACAAATTATATGGTCCACCCTATTTATCAGGTCCACCCTAATAACAACCCTCTCTTGAAGGATTATATTACCCTGGTCTTTCAAATGAGGAAATTAACAGTATTGAGATCCCAACCAAAAGGTCTGGCTTCAGAGCTGGCGTGCTTAGTCACTGTACTGTATGGCCACTCTGCATTCTAGTTTTATTATTATGAACTAGTTGTAAGTGAGTTTACAAGAGACAAGGGGAGAAGAGTAGGCATAAAATAGAAGCCACGATCTAGAATCACTCATTCAAAATATATAGTTACTATTTCCCCCTTTCCACAGTCACTTAGAAGGCACTCCTGATACATTTTAAACCTAAGTCTTAGAATAGTATTAGATTCCTGAGAAAATGACAGCTTTTCCTCTTTGATAAAAAGTCTTGTATTAATTACGTGTCCCCTTTGCTTTGACTGTTATAATAAAGTCTTATATCTTAAAGACGTCCACAATGCCAGCCCTCCACAAGTCTCACCTTCAGCATTTTCTTACTATTCCAGTTTACATTATTTCCTGCTCCTAATTTTTAAGCTTAAATTATTTAGCCATTTTTATGTGGTTATCCATCTGGTCAAGTGACTTGGAAATGGGGCAACAAAATAGAATGATAGATTGGTTTGCATAGGAAAACAGACAGAAAAGGAACGACAGCAATACAGGACCAGATGGATGCTTCCCAGAAGCAAAGAACAGGGGCCTGCGCTTACAGGAGTATGTGGGCACTGATGGATGAGGTTCTTTATGCCTTCCGAAAGAGGAGCCAAGCCACTGATGAGTGAGGTGACTAAGAGCTCTCATGCTCTTAGTGAGCTAAGGTCCACCTGCTGCTAAGATTACCTCAAAATACTAAGCTTAAGGTAAAACTCCAGTTTTAGAATCATTTAAAAAATAATTTGGTTAAGGATGAGCTGTGAAATAATTAATTCAAATGCTGCTAACTGAGCACTTCAGTTAGTGCTCCTCAAAGCTGTGAGAAATAGGCTTATGCTCAGTTCCTCCTGAGTGCTGTAAAAGGAACATAAAATCTCTGGACCCCAAACTCACTAAGCTGAAGGGAACAGTCAAGCTGAGAACTGGGTCATGCCAACCAGCCTCCCATTTTGTTCCTAAATAAGACAGCTACAGATCTAAAAGGATACATGCCTCTCTCACAATTTGCTCAAAACGAAATTCTTTGTGGGTCCCAAGATCTTTACCCTAAAACAGTTCTGTTGAATTTCACCCAGAAAATGCAAGAGAACAGCTATCTTCACAGATCCCGGAACAAAGGACAAAGGATAGAACTAAAAGCGCCCCCCACCCGCCGCCCGGCACCAAAGGAGTCATATCTGATTACTTCCTTTGGAAAGGCTAATCAGAAACTGAAAAGAATGTAACTGTTTGTGTCTCACCTATCTGTGACCTGGAAGCTCCCTCCCAGCTTTGAGTCTTCCTGCCTTTGCTTCCAGTTGTTCTGCCTTTCCAGACCCAACCAATGTACTTCTTATATCTATTGATTGATGTCTCATGTCTCCCTAAATGTAAAAATCAAGCTGTGCCCCAACTGCCTTGGGCACATGCTATCAGGACCTCCTGAGGCTGTGTCATGGATGCGTCCTCAACCTTGGCAAAATAAACTTTCTAAATTAACTGAGACCTGTCTCAGATTTTCTGGGTTCACAAATGCATATCTGATTACTTCCTCTACTTTATGTTTATTTTATCTTATGTAAAAATGCAGATTCACTGAGTGTGAGATGAATGCATAATTGACTATTTCTCTACCCCTTCCTTTGACATGTGAAATGTGGATTCAGTGCACACTGATCAAAGACTCAACAGAATGCAACTGCCTGCCCCTTTTATCTACCCTCCCCCTTTTTTCTTTTCTTCCTCTTTCTCCTACTGCCTGCTCTTTCCCATTAAATACTAAAATTCGCAGGCCCTCTTCGGAAAAAGCATGGATCACAGATTGTCCTTGTGGTTTTGTGTTCCTTTTTCCCGGGTGCGTTCTTAACCTTGTCAAAATAAACCTCTAACATGATTGAGACGCTCCTCAGTCATTTTGTTTGACTGTCAGTGGTGAAGGTTTGTTGCATGAGTCAACTTCTGTCTCACTCTGAGTCTTCTTCTGGCTGCTTTCAGTGCCAACACAAAGTGCTCCCTCTAACTCCTTGACATTTCTTCTGTCATCACTATCTCTAGGATTTCTGTTTATTGCTTTTGTTATGGCCACCGTCAGCTTTCAGGCATGCAAATCCCCAGTTTCTTCTCTATGTGGTTTATATTTAAGGTGAACAAGGGAGTCTCATGGGTCGGAAAGTCACCGTCTGATATGATCCAGACCTTTGGCTGCCCGTGGTTAATGAGTAACCTGGTGAGAAATAGTGGCAATGAGAATGCCATATGAGCTTAATAAAAAGTCTGGGGTGATACACCCAAGGATTTGCTTCTAATTGCATTTACCAGACAGGGCAGTGTTGAGTGCAGACAACTTTAAAAGGGGCAATTACCCAGCCTGCTAAACCTGCTATAGGTAAAGGAGTGTGCTGGGCAAGGTGCCAGAACATTGTATAAAATGATCATTATAGATTAAAGAAACACAGGCATACCTAGGGCCGTGGGCATTTGATACATCAGATCTAAAAGAATAATACATATGCTTCAGACCAGTTGTAAGAAAATTTACTTTTCTGTATAGCAGGGTCTAAAGTGCATTTCTAGGAGGCACAGATGCCTCACCAGAAAACTAAAGAAGTTCTGAAAAAAAGCTAATATGATACTTGAGAGCATGTCTGTTTCCATCTCATCTAAGTCACAGGAAGAGGAAACGGCCGCATTTACGAAAGTGTGAATTGGAAGCCCCTGGAAAATGTGACTGGATGGGATGAAACACTTGTGTGACACTTTAATAATGGGTATTGGCTAGCTCCTCATTATTTTCCACTGCAGTAAAGTGCGGCATGCAGCAAGATGTCAGTGTAGCATTTACCTATGCAGTGCCACTCTGCTGCAGAGTTTTAAGGATTGAAGATAAGGAAGTGCTACCCGAAAGCTGGCAAATACACCACACATTGAAAGATAAAGAAAGTTGACTTTTGCTGAGTACCTGCTTTGTGCTAGGCACTGGTTTCCAAATTTTGCTGCACAATGGAATCATCTTGGATCTTTAAAAACTGTTGATGCCTGGTTCCCATGCCTAATATTTTGACTTCATGGATGTTGCGTGCAATGTGGACGCTGTGTTTCTAAAAGCTTCCCACTTCATTCTAATGTGCAGCAGTTTGGGAATCACCCTACCAGACTATTACATTTCTTTTTTTTTTTTTCCTTCCTTCCTTCCTTCCTTCCTTCCTTCCTTCCTTCCTTCCTCCCTCTCTCCCTCCCTCCTTCCTTCCTTCCCTCCTTCCTTTCTTTCTTGATGGAGTTTCGCTCCTGTTGCACAGGCTGGAGTGGAATGGCACAATCTCAGCTCACCACAACCTCCGCCTCCTGGGTTCAAACGATTCTCCTGCCTCAGCCTCCTGAGTAGCTGGGATTACAGGCATATGCCACCATGCCCGGCTAATTTTCTATTTTTAGTAGAGATGGGGTTTCTCCATGTTGGTCAGGCTGGTCTCAAACTCTCGACCTCAGGTGATCTGCCCACCTCAGCCTCCCAAAGTGCTGGGATTACAGGCGTGAACCACTGTGCCTGGCCCAAACCATTCCATTTCTACTCATTATCTCACTTAAGCCACAGTGAAGCCTGTTGTTACCGATGAGGTCATAGAGGCTAGATGACCCCAGAAAACTTGCCTAGTTTTGGGTAGTGGAATAGACTAAAATCTGATCCTGTGGCTGTAAAACTCTGAAGCTTGGGTTCTTCTCACTCTTCCACACTGGTAGAATTCATGCACTGTAAGGAAAGAAAGGTTTTCTCTTTAATTTTCCCCGTGCTGGTAGCTAGCAGAGAATTGTAATTCATTTAGTAGAGGAAAAAAACCATATATATACTGGGCTATTTTATTAAGGATTGGGTTTTGGTTAAGATCAGACAATGAAACCTATTATAAATTTCCAAAGATATGCAGGTCAGACCATGCTACACCATGTTTCTGGGAGCCCAGAATGCAGAAACAAACATCAAAGTTCTCTTGTAATTTCATGGAAATATTTCATGTTAAAATTGTATTAATTTCAAAAGGTTAGAGTAGAAAATGAGAAGTATACACTTCATTAATTCTCAAGTTCTACATTTGCCAGAAACTTATCTCACCTTCATTAAAAAAAACTCTTATTACTTGATTTCAGAACACTTATAAAACATACTATGGGCCAGGCAAGGGGGCTCACGCCTGTAATCCCAGCACTTTGGGAGGCCGAGGCCGGCAGATCATGAGGTCGGGTGATCGAGACCATCCTGGCTAACACAGTGAAACCCCGTCTCTACTAAAAATACAAAAAATTAGCCAGGCGTGGTGGTGGGTGCCTGTAATCCCAGCTACTCAGGAGGCTGAGGCAGGAGAATCACTTGAACAAGCGAAAACGCCCGGGCGCTGTGGCTCACACCTGTAATCCCAGCACTTTGGGAGGCGGAGGTCACAAGGTCAGGAGATTTATCGAGAACATTCTGGCTAACACAGTGAAACCCCGTCTCTACTAAAAACACAAAAAATTAGCCGGGTGTGGTGGCGAGCACCTGTAATCACAGCTACTCAGGCGGCTGAGGCTGGAGAATCGTGTGAACCCAGGAGGCAGAGGTTGCGGTGAGTGGAGATTGCGCCACTGCACTCCAGCCTGGGTGACAGAGCGAGACTCTGTCTCAAAAAAAAGAAAAAAAACTTGTCTTAGGATAAATTCCTGGTAGTGAGATATTAGTTAAAGGAAGATGAAATTTTTATAAATTATATAGCATCTGTATGTTACTTTCTGAATGCACCCATTAGGTTACAAGGTCACAAGTAGCACATGATGCATCCCGTTCTCCACAGGACTGCCAGGAAAGGCTTATCTTTTCAGAGAGATTTTATTAGTAATTAGACATAAAATGGTGCTTTGAACTACTGTAACTTGCATGTCTATGGTTATTAGATAGATAAAATTTTTCCCACTTTTTAAACTATTTACATTATCTCATATGTGATCTTGACAATAGAGTTTTTTCCTTTTGTTTTTTACTGCTCTTGAATTTCCTCCTATTTTTTGAAATAACTTACTTAATATAGAGAGTTGTCTTCATGATGGTAGTATTATTCACAATATTTCCCAACTTCGTTGTGTTCCTTATATAGCTCTAGTCTTCTTATGCAGATATTTTCATTTGTATGCATTTAATTTTTTAAAGAATATCTTCTATTGCTTATAATCTGTGAAAGTTTGTATTTCTTTATCTCTGCTTAGACCTAGTGACTCCCTCATTTTATTATCTGTGAGCTTTTCTCTCCATTAGGTTAGCACAGCCTTCTATAATCTGACCTTATCACACCTTACAGAAGCATCATTTGACACACTTCAACTCAGCACCTCAGATCTATTTGGCCCATCCCTTTTCTTCCACACAAACATACCATGTTCATTTATGCCTTGGGGCATTTGGCCTGTCTTAGATGCCTGCCCATTCTTATTTCCTCTACCCATTCAAAGTCTACCTATCAGGGGGACAGATGCCTTGATTACACTCCTCCCCTTGATTTACTTAGTCACATGAACTCCTATAACCTCCTATAACTTGCATAGTCAATATTTATTTATTTATTTATTTATATATTTTTTTATTTTTTTGATATGGAGTCTCACTCTGTCACCAGGCTGGAGTGCAGTGGCATGATCTCAGCTCACTGCAAGCTCTGCCTCCCAGGTTCATGCCATTCTCCTGCCTCAGTCTCCCAAGTAGCTGGGACTGCAGGTGCACGCCACCACGCCCAGCTAATTTTTTGTATTTTTAGTAGAGACAGGGTTTCACCATGTTAGCCAGCATGGTCTCGATCTCCTGACCTCGTGATCTGCACGTCTCAGCCTCCCAAAGTGCTGGAATTACAGGTGTGAGCCACTGCTCCTGTCCCATAGTCAATATTTATAATTTGGCAATTACCTGTAATTACGTAGTCTCTTGTACGTATTTCAAATGTGTTAGCCTTCTCTTCTTAGACAAACTGTGATAATTAAGACATATTTCAGTGGTCTTTATAGCAGCTCTGATGACTGTTGAAATACATTTTTGAGTACCCTACATACTCACTGCATATTTAATTGGTTAAGAATTAAATAAAGAAGTGAATTTTTATCTGCAACTCAGTGGGTCAGGCCCATTGAACTCCAAGTGTCTCCAAGTCCTCATCACCTGCCTTTGAGTGACATGACTCACTCAAAGGCAGGTGATAAGAAACAAGAAAACTGGAACTCATACTTTCAGAGATTTTCCTGCCTCGGATGTGAAGTCTCTTGGCTACTGGAGTCTGGAAGACGACTTCTAAACTGATTCTGACAGGATTGTAACTTGAAACCCTATTATATTCAGTTTCCCTCACTGGTCTCTTTACCCACTCCACACTAGGTGGTACCAGTACTGAGAACTAATTCCCTTCTAAATTCTAAACTCTAAACTGTGTCCACTTTCATCTCACTTATCCTGCCAGTCCCTCCACTCCCTTTCAAGTTTCCCCCTCAAAGCTTCAATCTGTTCTCTTTGGTTCTGATCGTGTTCATCAGCACTCTCCACATGCTTCAACCCATAACACTCCAACTTTCAAACTGGATCAAAACAACCATGACTTTTCCCGTTCCTGTCCCTGGGCTATAGAGTGTTGCCACAAGAATTCACCCACCAAGTGAGGTTGGTCTCATGATTTACAGCCACGGGAGCAGCTTTGCAGAACTTCCAGCATCCTCTTCCATTTCTCCTATGGCTCTACCAAATCTTCACCACCCCTCAGAAGATTTTGCCTTTCATTCACAAAGAAAATTTGATTATCAGCCAGAAAGTCTCTCCATTGTCATGCTCTAAAACAACCAACCACATCAAGATATTACCCATATTTGCATGCAATCACGCTCACGTTCTTGTCTTCTAACCTGAGAAGGCTTGGAGGGAAAAACCCTTCTGCTCAAAGGCAGTCCATCCTCACATTGTTTACTCAGTCATAATCAAGATGCTGTCCAATTATTAACATCAGTCTTCCCTTTCATATATTTTTAATCTTTTCAATTTATAAACATGATCAACATTTTTTCCTGTGAAGAGAAAAACCAATTCTACATTTCAGACCTTGCTTTCTATCCACCCACTCTCTCCCTCAGCCACGGCCATTACCTCTTCAAGGCCAAACTTCTCCAAAAAAAAAGTCTTCCATCACTTCCTTGTTAGGTCTCCACCCACTTCCTTGGGTCTACGCACTCTTATAAACATTGAAGCCGTCAATTCCTCAGTAGTCAGATCCGAGCTCATCTGACTCTGGAATTTTCAGGTGTTAAGCCTTTCATCTTGTAACCCTGTCTTTCCCTGGCTTCCATGATACCGTTTTTCCACACCCTCTTCTAAGGTCTCTGAATGTGCCTCCTTGGTCTCCATTGCTAACCATTCTTCCTGCCTGCTTCTTGAATGTGATGTCTCTCATGTTCCATCCTTGAGCTTATTTTTCACAATGTATTCTTCTGAGTAATGTAAACCAGTGGTTTCCAATTTTAATGTACATATAAATTATCTGAGAATCTTAAAATGCATATTCTTATTCAATAGGTCTGGGATGAAGGATGAAATCGTGCATTTCAAACAAGCTTTCAAATGATGTCCATGCTCCTGGGCCATACACCACACTTTGAATAGTGAGGATCTAAACTACTTATTGGTCTCAGTTGGCGATAACCCCAAATCTCTGGCCAGTTCTATCTCCTGGGCAAATGCTATACAAATAGTTAAGCACCAAAGACAAACATCTCAAAAACAGATATGCAAAACTGAACTCATTTTCTCTGTTTCCTCAATCAAATAATTTGCAGACATCCCTGTTTTAATAAATGGCATTATGTCCCTTCAGTTATGTAAGTCAGACGTGGAGTTACCCTGAGCTTTTTTTTCACTATCTCTCCTGCCACTCATCCTCTACCTCGATATTCAGTTAATAAGAAAGTACTGGCTGGGCGCGGTGGCTCACGCCTGTAATCCCACCACTTTGGGAGGCCGAGGCGGGTGGATCATGAGGTCAGGAGTTCGAGACCAGCATGGGCAATATGGTGAAACCCCGTCTCTACTAAAAATACAAAAGTTAGCCGGGCGTGGTGGTGTGCGACTGTAGTCCCAGCTGCTCGGGAGGCTGAGGCAGGAGAATTGCTTGAACCCAGGAGACAGAGGTTGCAGTGAGCTGAGATCGTGCCACTGCACTCCAGCCTGGGTGACAGAGCAAGACTCCGTCTCAAAAAAAAAAAAAAAAAAAAGAAAGTACTGCTTACTCTACCTTCTTAACATCTCTCAAACTCATGGACGACTCTTTATCCCAGGCTGCTGCCTTAATTAACAACATCAATATCTATTTTATGAATCATTTACAACAATTTGCAAACTCGTTTTCTTGCCTTTACCATTGCTCCTCTCCAGACTCTCTACATTAGGAATATGTTTTTGAAAAATGAAAGCGTGACAAAGTCACTGTTTCAGGACAGTGTATCCAGCAAGTGATGAAGGAAGGCATCAGGCAAGAGGCACTGGAGCTTGAGTGGGTCATTTTTGGACACATGAACCAAGAGAGGCAGAGGGAGTGTAATGGTTTCCATTTCATCCCTGTGGCTCCACAGGACAAACCCCAAAACCCTTAACACAGACCACAAAGCCCTTGAAATCTTCTGTTTGCTAAACCTTCCTTCTTACAACCTAAACTTTTGGCATGCTTAGAGCTCCCAAGGTCCCTGTGCTCATCAGTCAACTCCTCTGTAAAGTGTCTTCTTATTGGCTCTTCTATTGGAATTTGCGCTATCTGCCATACTTCTCCAGCCAATTAGCCTTTTTAACACTGTTGTTATAAAAACTGTGGAAGAGGAAATTAGTACAGAGAAAAGCAACAGGCTAGCAAAAATCAGGGGCTCGGGGAGGAAGTCAGGGGCTCATCTTTCTAACCCCAATTAGAATCAGCACATTTAAGAACACTTGTGAATAGAAACTCTAGATTGCAGCCATTCATTAAAAACCCTTCATTTTACATATGGTAATCTGAGACTTCATAAATGACTTGTAACTTCCAAGATTCCAAATCTAATCAGTCCCACATAGGACTTTTCACCTCCAGTCCGGTGCTCAGGTGTTTCTGTTCTGCCCATCACCCATTACAGAGGAAGTACGTTCATCTGGGGATGCTTTTCTCCAGGAGAGACTTCCCTAAGCCTTTTGACTATGCAGATGCTTTCATGCATCTAGAAATAGTTTATTGCCAGTATAATGCAAATTTTATTTCAGTGTAGAAAATAATTTCTAGACTCTCATGTCACATTACTTTTGGCAGGGGCTATTGTTGGAGAGTTAATCATTCTCTGAAAGTCATTGGTTCTTGGTTCTGTTTCTTTTAAAAGAAGAGAGCTCATTTAACTTAAACATGTAATAACATCCAGAACAGGTTGCTTTTCTGGAAACTGTTAATAGAATCTGCATAGCTAGACAATGATTAACATTATGCAAATCTTTTTTTTTTTTTTTTTTTTTTTTGAGGCGGACTCTCGCTGTGTCTCCCAGGGTGGAGTGCAGTGGCGCGATCTTGGCTCACCGCAAGCTCTGCCTCCCAGGTTCATGCCATGCTCCTGCCTCAGCCTCCCAAGTAGCTGGGACCACAGGTGCCCGCCACCACACCCGGCTAATTTTTTTGTTTTTGTATTTTCAGTAGAGACGGGGTTTCACCGTGTTGGCCAGGATGGTCTCAATCTCCCAACCTTGTGATCTGCCCACCTCGGCCTCCCAAAGTGCTGGGATTACAGGCATGAGCCACTGCACCTGGCTGATTATGCAAATCTTAAGCATTATTTCAAAGGTCTTTATCTTGTCTTCTCTTGGATAGACATTAAGAGGTAGACAGGGTTCAAAAAACCTAGTTTACAAAAAGGGAAGTCATCAGAATTCCATGAAGAGATTTTGGGAATGTGCATCTTCAAGCCCTATTCTTGTATTCATATGATCTTGGAATCTGTCTTCAGAAATTGTTCCCACGTGACTCTGATGACCATCATTAGTTAAGAATCACTCCCAGAGAATTTAAAGCTATATTGATCAAAGTGGAGGATCTATGACATGATCTAACCATTGATTTTTGATTCTGTATCAAATCCTTCAGTATCACACTCTATTGACCAATAGAGTTAGGGGCCAAGGGAAAGCTTATCTTTTTGCCTTCAGTAGATTGACTGAAAAATCAACTCACAAAAGGCAGATTAGTGAGATAAATGGCGTATACATTTACTAGGGTATATGAGAGAGAATCACAGAATGATTGCTCCACCACAAATTGGGGTACAGGTGATTATTCACTCTTATTAAGGGAAAGAGAAGTAGGGAAGTGTGAATGATTTTAGAAGGGTAGTAAATAATTTTGGGGGAGATTCAATGGGTTTGAAGAACATACAATGACCTGGGACCAAGTGTGTCGGGCCCACAGAGCAGACAATGGTTTGTGACAAAAGTCTGTCCAGATATGTTGGCAGACTTCAGTCTTTCTTCCTTCAATACGATTTCAGTTAAGGAAAACTCAGGGAGAATACCAGAGGTAATTGTTTTCTTCTATGTTAGTTCCATACTTTAGGCCTATAAAGAAACTTCAGAGAACAACTTTATCTCGTGCTTTGGGAGAGAAAGGAGAGGAGGGAAGGTCAAAGAGACCTTGAAGTGGCCGAGCGTGGTGGCTCACACCTGTAATCCCAGCAGTTTGGGAGGCTGAGGTGGGCGGATCACAAGGTCAGGAGATCGAGACCATCCTGGCTAACACAGTGAAACCCCGTCTCTACTAAAAATACAAAAAATTAGCCGGGTGCGGTGGCGGGCGCCTGTAGTCCCAGCTACTCAGGAGGCTGAGGCAGGAGAATGGCGTGAACCTGGGAGGTGGAGCTTGTAGTAAGAGGAGATCGTGCCACTGCACTCCAGCCTGGGTGACAGAGCGAGACTCCGTCTCAAAAAAAAAAAAAAAAAAAAAAGAGACCTTGAAGTTTCTTCTGGAGTTCATCATGTCAAAGCACTGTATTTTGGTGTATGGGTTTCTGGGCCCCAGCAGGGTGAAAGGCAGATGTCAGCAACAGAATCACACAATCCTGATGATACTATTTAATTCCTGAATCCAGAAATATTCTGGATTAGAAAATATATCTTACTTTTCATTTATATGAGACAGTCAATTCCTCTTCATGTTTAAGTTAGTTCTTTGCTTAAGTTTTGTCCTTTGCAAAAGAAAGTAATGGCTTTTATGGTTTCTTCAGAAGGCCTTTCCTTTAATTCCTTAAAAACATATAGAAATCTGGAGAAGAAGCCTTTTGTTTTTAATAGCTTGACAATTATATACCCAAGTTGTTATGTTTTATTTTCCTTGTTTGATGTTCTCCAATTTTCTTGGATTTGTGGTTTCCAGTCTGTTGTTAACTTCTGGAATATTCTTGGACATTACTTCTTCACATATGTCTCTCAGATTCCAATTATATCTGTACTAGATTGTTTAATAACATGGAATAGATATCCCTAGTTCTTGAATGCTCTGTTCTATTTTTTCCCCATTCTTGTTTTCCTCTGTATTTCAGTTTGGGCGAGTTCTATTGATTCCCTTCTTAAGTGCAAGAGTCTTTCCTTGGCTACATGAAGTCTATTGACGAGTCTATCAAAGGAATTCTTTATCTCTGTTACCAAAGTTTTATTTCTAGCATTTCCATTTTATTCATATTATAGTTTCCATATCTCTGCTGAAATTACTCATCTGATTTTGCATGGTGCCAGTTTCTTCATTAGAGCTTTTACCATATTAATTACAGTTGTTTTTAAATTTTCTATCAGAAAATTCTAACAAACACTTGTGTCAGAGCTGAGTGTTGAGTGTGGTTTTGATGATTGCTCGGCCACTTGGAAATGGGTTGTTTCTTGCCTTTTTGTGTAGCTTGTAATTCATTTTAAATCTAGACATCTTGTATTAAATAGTAAAGACTGGGGTAGGGAGGCTGAGGCAGGAGAACGGCGTGAGCCCAGGAGGCAGAGCTTGCAGTGAGCTGAGATCCCGCCACTGCACTCCAGCCTGGGCGACAGAGCCAGACTCCTTATCAAAACAAAAAAAAAGACTGGGGTAAATACTTTTTATTCCCAAAAATGGGCACTTCTTTTTTTTTTTTTTTTTTTTTTTTTTTTTGCTAGACCCCACTAGGTGTGGGGTTTCATCCATCTCTTGAGAAATGTGTTAGCATGCTTAGTTAACTTGTACTTTTTAAAGTAAAACTGTTTGGTTTTATTGGTTCATGTTTTTAAAAATATGTCTCACCAAAACGTTAAATATAATTGAATTGGAATATCACTCTTTTAGTAAACCATAGACCTTTGTTTATTTATTTATTTATTTATTTTAAGACGGAGTCTCGCTGTATCGCCCAGGCTGGAGTGCAGTGGCGGGATCTCTGCTCACTGCAAGCTCCGCCTCCCGGGTTCACGCCATTCTCCTGCCTCAGCCTCCGGAGTAGCTGGGACTACAGGCGCCTGCCACCAGGCCCAGCTAATTTTTGTATATTTTTAGTAGAGACAGGGTTTCACTATGTTAGCTAGGATGGTCTCGATCTCCTCACCTCGTGATCCGCCCACCTGGGCCTCCCAAAGTGCTGGGATTACAGGCATGAGCCACCTCACCCGGCCCAACCATAGACCTTTGAACATACCTAAATGCCTGTGATACCATCTAATGAGACGGTTGCAATTTTCATTAAGTTTTCACTACCCATAAAGTTCTTTTACTTTTCAAAATACACTAGTTATAAAGAAAGTCATTACAAGATATCCAGCCTGTGGCAGACCTTAACTTTCTTCATCATTGGCCTTTAATTTTACTAAACACCAGTAAATTCCAGGAATTCTCAATTGGAAGCATTTTCCCTTTTTTTGATAATGATTAAGTCTCACATTAGGTTTAAACTAAGTTTACCTTTTTTTTTTTTTTTTTTTTTGAGGCGGAGTCTCGCTCTGTCGCCCAGGCCGGACTGCGGACTGCAGTGGCGCAATCTCGGCTCACTGCAAGCTCTGCTTCCCGGGTTCATGCCATTCTCCTGCCTCAGCCTCCCGAGTAGCTGGGACTACAGGCGCCCGCCACCGCGCCCGGCTAATTTTTTGTATTTTTAGTAGAGACGGGGTTTCACCTTGTTAGCCAGGATGGTCTCGATCTCCTGACCTCGTGATCCACCCGCCTCGGCCTCCCAAAGTGCTGGGATTACAGGCGTGAGCCACCGCGCCCGGCTAAGTTTACCTTTTTAAGAAAAACAATACACTTTATTCCACAGAATAGTTTTAGTTTCACAGCAAAACAGAGTGGAAAGTACAGAGAATTCTCATATACCCTATGCCTCCACACACGCACTGCCTCCCCCGTGATCAATCAGCACCCCTCACCAGAGGGGTACACTTGTCACAACCAACTTACATGGATACATCATTATCATCCAGAGTCTATAGTTTGCAACAGATTTTAATCTTGGCGTTGTACATAATATAGGTTTTGACAAAGGTGTAGTGACATGTATCCACCGTTATAGTATTATACAGAATAGTTCCAGTGCCCCAAAAGCCTCTGTGCTTTGTCTATTCATCTCTCCCTCCTCCCTAACAAGTGGCAAATGCTGATCTTTTTACTGTCTCCAAAGTTTTGCCTTTTCCAGAATGCCATACACTTAGAATCAAAAGTAGTTAGCCTTTTCAGATTGGGTTTCTTTTACTTAGTAATGTCCACTTAGGGTTTCTTGATGTCTTTTCATGGCTTGATAGGTCTCATCTTTTTAGGTTGAATAATATTCCATTGTCTGGATGTACCACAGATTATTTATCCATTCAGCTACTGAAGGTCGTCTTGATTGCTTCCACATTTTAGCAATTATGAATAAAACTGCTGTAAACATCTGTGTGCAGGTTTTTGTGTGGACCCAAGTATTCACCTCCTTTGGGGAAATATCAAGGAATGCAATTGCTAAATCATCTGGTAAGAATATGTTCAGTTTTTTTTGTTTTTTTTTTTGAGACGGAGTCTCACTCTGTCGCCCAGGCTGGAGTGCAGTGGCGCGATCTCGGCTCACTGCAAGCTCCGCCTTCCCGGGTTCACGCCATTCTCCTGCCTCAGCCTCCCCAGCAGCTGGGACTACAGGCACCCACCACCACACCCAGCTAATTTTTTTGTATTTTTAGTAGAGATGGTGTTTCACCATGTTAGCCAGGATGGTCTCGATCTCCTGACCTCGTGATCTGCCCGCCTCCGCCTCCCAAAGTGCTGGGATTACAGGCGTGAGCCACCGCGCCTGGCCTAGTTTTTTTAAAACTGCCAAACTCTCTTCTAAAGTGGCTGTACTATTTTGCATTGCCCAGAAATGAATGAAAATTCCTGTTGCTTCACATCCTTGCCAGTTTTTAGTGTTGTCAGTGTTTTGGATTTAAGCCATTCTAATAGGTGTGTAGTGGTGTCTCTCTGTTGTTTTGATTTGCAATTTCCAGTGACATATGATGTTGTACATCTTTTCATATACTCATTTGCCATCTGTATATCTTCTTGGATGAGGCATCTTTTCAGGTCTTCTGCCCTTTTAAAAATCGGGTTGTTAGTTTTCTTATTGTTGAGCTTTAAGTGTCCTTTATATAACTCAGATAACAGTCCTCTATCAGACATGACTTTTGAATATACTTTGTCCCAGTTTGTGACTTGTCTTCTCATTCTCATAGTATCTATGGTTTTTTTTTTTTTTTAGATGGAGTCTTGCTTTGTCGCCAAGGCCAGAGGGCAGTGGTGGTGTCTCAGCTCACGCAACCTCCACCTCCCGGGTTCAAGCAATTCTCCTGCCTCAGCTTCTTGAGTAGCTGGGACTACAGGTGCCGGCCACCACACCTAGCTAATTTTTGTATATTTAATAGAGACAGGGTTTCACCATGTTGACCAGGCTTGTCTTGAACTCCTGACCTCAGGTGATCCACCCGCCTTGGCCTCCCAAAATTCTGGGATTACAGGCGTGAGCCACCATGCACAGCCAGTTTTTAACTTTAATAAATTCTAGCTTACAAAATATTTCTTTCATTGGTGTTGCCTGAATGTACCACAGTTTTTTTATTCAGCCAGTTAATGAAGGACATCTTGGTTTCTTCCATATTTTGGCAAATATGAGTAAAGCTGCTATAAATGTCTGTGTGAATGTATTTGTGTGCACATAAGTTTTCAACTCCTTTGGGTAAATAGCAAGGAGTGCAATTCCTGGATCATCTGCAAAGTCATCACCGTATCCAGGGTCATCCAGGTTTTCTCTGATGTTATCCTCTAGGATTTTACAGTTTTGCATGTTACATTTAGGTCTATGATCTACTCTGAGTTAATTTTTGCAAAGCTCATAAGGTCTTTGTCTAGACTCATTTTTTCATGTGGATGTCCCATTGTTTCAGTACCGTTTGTTGAGAAGGCTGTTTTTTCTCCATTGCCTTATGTTTTCTCCTTTGCTGAGTTTAGTTTTTATGGCCATGAACAAAATCCTCTTGTTCCTTCACAAAACTATTAAAGACCTTTTTTCATCCTTTTCGTCAAGGCCCAAGTAATTACAATTTCTCTTCAAAACCTCTCATAACTCCTGGAGGTTCTTCAGAGAGTTGAGCTTAGAAGAGACTTATTTAGCAAATGCAACTATAAGGATGCTAATGTACTCTGTCCAGGTCAGAATTTCTTTTCTTCACTAGCTGACGTGTGTGCTTGACCCTTAACGTGGGTCTATAAATGCAGCACTGGGTTCATCAGTGGATCTGTAAGCTTTGGTGTTTTATTTCCCAAGAGCTCTATAGATGCTCCCCATTCCCTGAATTTTGTGCTGTAATGAAGGTGGACATGGCATTGTCAGTGCGACCCGGTCTCAGAGTTAGGTGGACTGCATGTGGGTTCGGGTTCTGCTACTCCCTGTAGGACCTTTCTACAAGTCACCTGTCTCCTCTAGGCCTCAGTTTCTTTATCTGTAATGTTGGACTAGATTCTGTCTATGGTCCTCTAGAGCTCCAAAGTGAAGATAAAACTCCTGTTCCACTCAGGGAGTTTGTATCTTCAAAGTGAAAGCTTCCTGGGGGAAATGAAGCTTGCCTTCACCAACGTTAGAAATTAGTGGTTGAAAAATAGTATTTTTCAGTGTCTGTGAGTCTTGAAGTTATGTTTTCACAGAGTGACAAGAAAACAAATTAATGAAAGGCAGACATCTTCATGAATGAGAGTCAGAGAAAATATGAACATAACATATGACCCAGCATATAGTCTGTTCTCCCTGAATGAATAAAATGTAGGAGTTATTCCCTGGTTTACAAACCAAAATGTTAATCAGAAGTCCCATTTGAGAAGTGAAGTGGGACTTTATTTTATTTTATTTATTCATTTATTTATTTAAGACAGAGTCTCGCTCTGTCCCCAGGCTGAGTGCAGTGGCGTGATCTCGGCTCACTGCAACCTCCACCTCCCGGGTTCTAACAATTCTCCTACTTCAGCCTCCCAAATAGCTGGGATTACAGGCGTGCCACCATGCCCAGCTAATTTTTGTATTTTTAGTAGAGATGGGGTTTTGCCATCTTGGCCAGGCTGGTCTTGAACTCCTGACCTCAGGTGATCCACCTGCCTTGGCCTCCCAAAGTTCTGGGATTACAAGTGTGAGCCACTGCACCTGGCTGGGGCTTTAAAGTATGTAAGATATATAGAGAGACGATGAAGAGGGAGGTACGGAGCGAGAGAGAGAGTGTGTGGCTGGAACTTGAAGTTTTTTTTTTATTTGAAGTTATATACTTTGGGAATAAACTTAGGTTTTCATGCTCTGCCGAGCTTAAGCAAGATGGCAAATGCATACATTGAGCTCTCTAATCATAACCTCAATATATGGATTCTTGTTCATTAAAATACTTGCACCAGCAAATATGATTTCCAAAATTTGTGTTTTGGAGGTAATTAAGTAACTGTATAAAAATAAATGCTTTCCCCTCCTTTCCCCAGTGACTTTCCATACTTTTAAAATAATAAAAATAATGTATATATATTTTTTAATTTTTAAAAGCAACTTAACTCTTTGTTTTTAGGAAACTATAGATTAAGGTATCCCTTTGATCCCGTGTGTACTAGGGATCCACAGGAATGTTCCTCAGCCCTGTGGCATGAGGTCTTTCTCAAAGTCCAGGCAGCTACACAGCATAGCCATGTTACTTTTAATTAGTGTAATTACCATGGAGACAATAGGCATCATCTGTCACTGTTTATCTTTCATTCTAATCAAAAGAGACATTTTAAACAAGCTTTTTAGGATCTCTGAAATATTGTCTACTCATAATCATGTATTATAAAGTTCAGCTGTTTTAAAAGTTAACTATACCAGGAGTGTACTCATTAGGTATGATAACAAGTTAACTGGTTAATCTCATACAGATGGAAAGTTCTTATAAGTTAGACATTTTTGAGTTGTGCACCTATATTTGGAAAGAACAACTTTTAGTCATATCCCTCATATATCTGTTTTGACGTTTTATGTCAGCCTTATGTTTAAATGTGATACCTCATTATAACGTCCTAAAGGCAAGAAACAATATACCCAAATAAAAATATGTCTATGCTTCTGTGTTATAATTTATAAGACTGGCTTCGGTAATTGAATAAACATGTTAAGGTATTTTATTTCAATTATTTATACTCCATTGAGTTGTTCAAATGAGTATGAATCCTTCTAGCAAAAACCCAACCCTCCTTTGGATCTATTCGCAAGGTGCACTTCAAAAGTTTATCATATAGTCGATGTTTGTAATTCTGTCTGTATTATTTCTTCAATAATACCTATGCACCTTGAGGGAAAGTTCTGCCTTATTCTTGCATAAGCTCAATAGGCACACATTTATAATTCAATGCTTGTAATATTTTCTCCCATTTCTGAGATACTTAAAAAATTTAACCTCATTATCACCATCATTACCTCACTATCACCATGAAAATCTCAGTGACAAATAGAGCAACAGTGATCAGCTTGTGAGTAAAAGCCAAATACCAGGCACTAACAAGAGTTCTCTTTTCATAAGAAACCTTCAAGGTCACTGCATGAGGACGAGGCCAGGCCAGTATTCAACATCGGATTTATAGATCCTAAAGTTGGCCACTTTCCTCTTTGCCATGCTGAATCTTTAAAATAAATCCTAATTCAATCTTTTAACCTAATGGCATGTCCAAGTCAAATTTTTTACTACACACTTTTCCCAGATTCACCTCTTTTATTATATATTGGAAAATATAATTTCACAAAGATTATTTCGAATAAAGAGGTAATTTTTCCAATCGTGTAAATGAAATCCACAGGAAAGGAGAGCTCTTCTGTATAAATAGCACAAATTCAGAGGAATGCCTTTGCAAACTCTATGCTTCACCAACACAGATCTTCCCTAGGAAGAGAATTCAAGATTGACCCCAAAACTCATCTCCTGAACTCAGTTGATACATCTTTTCAGTAACTGCCAAAGCCTCATTTGCAATTTCAAATACCTTTGACAAAAAGCCAAAATGTTCTGAAATGTCAAATTCACTTGTACTTTACTTCTTCCACTCTAATGTTTTCAATAAATATATTGTCAGCTACAGCAACAATTTCCAATTTCCCTTGTAAATAAGTGAAATAGCTTGGGAGGATCTTCTGAGATTGCATTGAGGTGTGCTCACAGGGCTATTTCATTTATAAGGTGTCAAGTCAGGTAGGTGGGCTGATCTGTTTCTTCAAGTAGCATCTGTGTAATAGGGTGTTGTTCAGTTAAGAGCCTGAGTCCTGCATCTCAGTGTCTTACTATGGGATGCTGAACAAGCTAAACTTTTTTATTTTATTTTATTTTTAAGTTCTGGGATACATGTGCAGAATGTGCAGGTTTGTTACATAGGTATACATGTGCCATGGTGGTTTGCTGAACTTATCAGCCCATCATCTAGGTTATAAGCCCCGCATGCATTAGGTGTTTGTCCTAATGCTCTCCCTCCTCTTGTCCCTCATCCCCCTACAGGCCCTGATGTGTGATGTTCCCCTCCCTGTGTCCATGTGTTCTCATTTGAACAAGCTAAACTTCCTAAACTTCAGCCCTACCATATGTACATTGGAAATTATAACAGTGCCTTGTATGGCATTTAGTCACAATGTCTGGTGTAGAATAGATGCTCTAAAATTATTATTATTATATGCTGAAGGGCAGACATCTCATCTTATTTTTTTTTTCACTTAAAAGAATATATTTTTTCAGAGACAAGATCTCGCTATGTTGCTCAGGCAGGTCTCAAACTCCTGAGCTCAAGTGATTTTCCCATCTTGGTCTCCCGAAGTGCTGGGATTACAGGCGTAAGCCACCATGCTTGGGCCACATCTTATTTTCATTGTGTTCAGAATACAATATAGGGTTGCATATAACAGCATTAAATGAACTGTTGTCATGCTTCCCTTGCTGATGTGTGTGCATATCTGTAATCCACTTTATGGGGGGATAAAGTTTTGTTTGGGCTCATGTCGGAACTGACGGAGTTGTCTCTTCATTAGAAACTGGATGGTCTAGTTTAAAACTACACTGTAAAGACGTGATGTGGCCTTAGTTATGGCATTTAAATAATGGGTTTAACTCATCAAATTTCCCTAATAATATAACACTAATATATTTAGCTAGTCCACAGAAACACATATTTTTGTAGATTTTCTTTTTTTTTTTTTTTTCGGAGATGGGGTCTCATTCTGTGTCCCAGTCTGTAATCTGTAGTGCAAAGGTGCAATCACACCCATTGCAGCCTCAACTTCCCAGGCTCCGGTGATCCTCCCACCTCAGACTCCTGAGTGGCTGGAACCACAGGTGCATGCCACCATGCCTGGCTAATTTTTTTTTCTTTGTAGAGGTGGAGTCTCACTATGTTGCCCAGGCTGGTCTTGAACTCTTGGGCTCAAGTGATCCTCCCACCTTGACCTCTCAAACTGCTGGGATTACAGGTGTGAGCCACCACACCTGGACATGTAGATGTTCAATAACAAGAAATGTAAACAGTAAAGATATAGTATTAGAGACAATTATCTATTTTTTAAGACCTCCAGACAGCGATTATTCCTTCAGCTGCGAGAAAACGTAAATGCAAAATACCTGCAAAATGCGATGACTTCCTGTAATGTGGCATCACAGGCAAGCTGTGGCTTTTCAGAAGATACATTCACCCTGTTACCTTACAGCTCTACCAAGTGGGACACCCCAGAGATCCTTATATATTATGTCTTTTTAATAGTTATTCCCAGACATTGTTTCTCTGCATTTATTTTCAAAGTATTAATCCAATTTAACACTCATCTTCCTGGCAAGAACAGTAAAGGGTCTGAAATTTTATACTACTTACAATCTAACAAGTTGGCCTGCCACTCTCATGGATGCTGCCAAAAGAAATAAGACTCCCAGGTCAGAGACAAAGAACGTTATTATTATTGTTATTATTTTATTATTTTATTTTATTTATTTACTTTTTTGAGATGGAGTCTCGCTCTGTCGCCCAGGCTAGAGTGCAGTGGCATGATCTCGGCTCACTGCAAGCTCTGCCTCCCACGTTCACGCCATTCTCCTGCCTCAGCCTGCCGTGTAGCTGGGACTACAGGCGCCCACCACCATGCCCAGCTAATTTTTTGTATTTTTAGTACAGACAAGGTTTCACCGTGTTAGTCAGGATGGTCTCGATCTCCTGACCTTGTGATCTGCCTGCCTGAACCTCCCAAAGTGCTGGGATTACAGGCGTGAGCCACCACACTCAGTCAATAACATTATTATTTATGGACCAACAAACAGCATAAGCAACAGGGTATCAGTTGTCCTTGCCCTGGAGTCCCACGGGAAGGACATGGATGGACTCAGATGGATGAATGCACATGCATTACGGGATACGAGCCCTGAGCTCAGGGAATGCAAATCCCTTGTAAAGATCCCTAACTATGCCTAGTCTTTGTTCCAGAAGGAGATACCAACATGCTTGAAAAGATGGTCAAAACAAAGGGCAGTCTGTGTCTGCTCGTAAAGTGTGCAGAAATGTGAGGGACTCATGAAAACATGTCACACAATACTTTCCTCTTATAGTAGACAAGTGAGTCTGTATGCACATGGGGTACTGGATGAAATACTTTATCAAAACTGGTCAGAAATTCAGACAAAAATTTAATTCAATCAAACAACTGCATGTAATAAATAATATTTTCGTGTGGCTACCAGTGACTCACAAGTCCAGCTGCTTCAAAAAACATCCTAATTCTCTAGCCCCATCACAGTTCAATTCAATATAATCTGTGGGGAGGGGCCTGGCCTCAGTATTTTTAAAGCTTTCCAGGTTACTTTAATGAGTAATCAAGTCAGGGCTGACAATCACTAAGCCAAAATAAGCCTACTACTATGCAAGGTCTTTTCAGAGACAGAGAAGGAAAAAAAAAAACTACCTAAAGTAAATTCCATGATACAGTATCTATAAACGAGGGAACCTACAATCTTTGGCAGGAAAAACTTCAATTAAACTCATTTTCTTGCTACGCTGACCATTTATTTTACCAAAATAAGTCATAACATAAGATCTATTGCTCAGTTCCTGTGTAGACAGAACCTAAAATCTGGGGAGAGGCAAGATCAACTAATTTGTTTTTTTTACTCACTTGACAAGTATTTTGACTAAAGCACTTAAGGATTGTGGTGTTGATTTAAAAAAAAAATGTTTAACAATTTTGTAAAAGACATTTTTTTGCAGTTTTCCAACAAAATCTTGTAAGCGAAGCATGTTTTCTTTCTCCTTATCTCAACCCAAATGGTATGCTATTCCTCATATTTTCTTTTTTTAAAAATCTTGTATTTTAGATTAAGGGGTACATGTGAAGGTTTGTTATGTAGGAAAATAGATTGTTTCATCACCCGGATACTGAGCCTAGTACCCAATAGTTATTTTTCCTGATCCTGTCTCTCCTCCCACCGTTCATCCTCAAGTAGGCCTCAGTGTGTGTTGTTCCCCTCTTTGTGTCCATGTGTTCTCATCATTTAGCTCCCAATTATGTGGTATTTGGTTTTGAACATGTGGTATTTGGTTTTCTGTTCCTGCATTAGTTTAAGCATCATGGCCTCCAGCTCCATCCATGTTCCTGCAAAAGACATGATCTCATTCTTTTTTATGACTACATAGTATTCCATGGTGTATATGTACCACATTTTCTCTATCCAGTCTAACATTGATGGCCACTTAGATTGACTCCAAATCTTTGCGATTGTGAATTGTGTTGCTCTGAATATATGCATGCATGTGTCTTTATGATAGAATGACATATATTCTTTTGGGTATATACCCAATAATGAGATTGTTGGGTGAAATGGTAGTTCTATTTTTAGTTCTGTGGGGAATCATCACACTGCTTCCCACAATGGTTGAACTAATTTGAACTCCCACCAACAGTGCATAAGCGTTTTTTTTTGTCCCCTGCAACCTCACTAGCATCTGTAATTTTTTGACATTTAATTATAGCCATTCTGACTGGTGTGAGATGGTATCTCATTGTGGTTTTTATTTGCATTTCTCTAATGATCAGTGATAATGGGATTTTTTTTCATATGTTTGTTGGCCGCATGTATGTCTTCTTTAGAAAAGCATCTGCTTATGTCCTTTGCCTACTTTTTAATGGGATTGTTTGTTTTGCTCTTATAAATTTACTTAAGTTTCTTATTGATGCTGGATATTTGACCTTTGTCAGATACATAATTTGCAAATATTTTCTCCCATTCTGTGGGTTGTCTGTTTACCCTGTTGATAGTTTCTTTTGTTGTGCAGAAGCTCTTTAGTTTAACTAGATACCATTTGTCAAATCTGCTTTCATTGCAATTGCTTCTGGCATCTTTGTCATGAAATCTTTGCCATTCCTATGTCCAGGATGATATTCCCTAGGTTGTCTTCCAGGATTTTTATAGTTTTAGGTTTTACATTTAAGTCTTTAATCTAGTTCATTGAGAGTTTTTAAAATAAAGGGATGTTAAATTTTATCAAAAGTCTTTCTTTGTCTATTGAGATAATCGTGGTTTTTGTCTTTAGTTTTGTCTATGTGACGAATCACATTGATTGATTTGCAAATGTTGAACCAACTTTGCATCCCAGGAATAAAGCCTATTTGATAGTGGTGGATTAAATTTTTGACGTGCTGCTGGATTCAGTTTGCTAGAATTTTGTTGAGAAGTTTTGCTTCCATGTTCATCAAGGATATTGGCCTGAAGTTTTCTTTTATTTTTGTGTCTCTGAGAGGTTTTGATATCAGGATGATGATGGCCTCATAGAATGAGCTGAGGAGGAGTCTCTCCTCTTCCATTTGTTGAAATAGTTTCACTAGGAATGGTACCAGCTCTTCTTTGTACAGCTGGCAGAATTCAGTTGTGAATCCATCTGGTCCTGGGCTTTTTTATTTTTATTTTTTTTTATTGGTAGGCTATTTATTACCAATTCAAGTTTGGAGTTTGTTATTGGTTTGTGGAGGGATTCAATGTCTTCCTGGTTCAGTCTTGGGAGGGTGTATGTATCCAGGAATTTATCCATTTCTTCTAGGTTTTGTAGTTTGTGTGTGTAGAGGGGTTCATAATATTCTCTGATGATTATTTTTATTTCTGTGGGGTAAGTGCTAATATCCTCTTTGTCATTTCTGATTGTGTTAATTGGATCTTCTCTCTTTCTTCTTTATTATTCTGGCTAGTGGTCTATCTATCTTATTAACTTTTTCAAAAAATTAGCTCTGGCTTTGTTGATCTTTTGAATAGTTTTTCATGTCTCAATTCCTTCAGTTCAGCTCTGATTTTGGTTATTTCTTGTCTTCTCCTAGCTTTGGGGTTAGTTTGCTCTTGCTTCTCTAGTTCTTTTAGTCATGATGTTAGGTCGTTAATTTAAGATCTTTCTAACTTTTTGATGTGGATTTTTAGTGCTATAAATTTCCCTCTTAACACTGCCTTAGCTGTGTCCTAGAGATTCTGGTATGTTGTAACTTTGTTTTCAGTAGTTTCAAAAAACTTCTTGATTTCTGCCTTAATTTCATTATTTACCTGAAACTCATTCTGGAGCAGGTTGTTTAAGTTCCATGTAATTGTATGGTGTTGAGCAATTTTCTTAGACTTGAATTCTGTTTTTACTGCACTGTGGTGTGAGAGTGTGGTTGGTATAATTTCAGTTCTTTTTGCATTTGCTGAGTATTGTTTTATGTCCAATGTGTGGTTGATTTCAGAGTATGTGCCATGTGGCAATGAGAAGAATGTATATTTTATTGTTTTGGGGTGGAGTGTTCTGTAGATGTCTATCAGGTCCATTGGTCCAGTGTTGAGTTCAGGTCCTGAATATCTTTGTTAATTTTCTGCCTCAATGATCTGTCTAATATGGTCAGTAGGGTGTTGAAGTCTCCCACTAATATTGTATGACAGTCTAAGTCTCTGAAGGTCTCCAAGAACTTGCTTTATGGATCTGGGTGCTCCTGTGTTGGGAGCATATATATTTAGGATAGTAATGTCTTGTTGAATTGAGCCTTTTACCATTACGTAATGCCCTTCTTTGTCTTTCTTAATCTTTGTTGGTTTAAAGTTGCTTTTTTTTCTGTTTTCCATTTGCTTGGTAGATTTTCCTCCATCTCTTTGTTTTGAATTTATGGATGTCATTGCATGTGAGATAAGGTTTTTAAAGACAGCATACCATTGGGTATTGCTTTTTCAGTCAGCTTGCCACTCTGTGCCTTTAAATTGGGGAATTAAGTCCATTTCCATTCAAGATTAATACTGATACGTGTGAATGTAATCTTGTCATCATAATGTTAGCTGGTTATTTTAAAGACTGGCTTATGTGGTTGCCTTATAGTGTCACTGGGCTGTGTATTTCAGTGTATTTTTTTTTTTAGTGGCTGGTAACAGGCTTTTCTTTCCATATTTAGTACTTCCTTTAGGAGCCTTATAAGGCATGTCTGGTGGTAAAAAAAAAAAATCTTCTCAGCACTTCTTTGTCTGAAAAGGATCTTATTTCTCCTTCACTTATGAAGCTCAGGTTGGTTAGATTTGAAATCTTGGTGGGAATTCCATTTATCTAAGAATGTTGAATATTGGCTCCCAACCTCTTCTGGCTTGTGAGGTTTCTGCTAATAGGTCTGCTGTTAGTCTAATGGACTTCCCTTTGTACCTTTGTAGGTTATCTCTCATTACTTTTTCTCTGCCTTTAAGATTTTTTTGCTTCATTTCAAGCTTGGAGAATCTGATAGTCATGTCTCTTGGGGATGATTTTCTTGTGAAGGATTTTGCAGGGTTCTCTGCATTTTCAGAATCTGAATGTTGGTCTCTTTAGCTAGGTTGGGAAAGGTCTCATGGATGAAATCCTAAAATATGTTTTCAAGTAGTTTCCATTCTCCCCATCTCTTTCAGAGACACCAATGAGTCATAGATTCGGTCTCTTTACATAATTCTATGTTTCTCAGAGATTTCTTACTTTCACTCTTTCTTCTTTCTTCTTGTCTGGCTGTCTTATTTCAGAAAGCCAGTCTTCAAGCTCTGAGATTCTTTCCTCAGCTTGGTCTATCCTGCTGTTAATACTTGCCATTGCATTATGACATTCTTGTAGCGTGTTTTTCAGCTCTATCGGGTGGGTTACATTCTTTTCTCTACAGCTATTTTATCTGTCAGCTCCTGTATCATTTTATTGTGCCTCTTAGCTTCCGTAGATTGGGTTTCAACATTCTGCTTAATCTTAATGATCTTCATTCATATCCATATTCTGAATTACATTTCTGTCACTTCAACCATCTCATCTTTGCTGGAGAGGTGATGTGGTCATTTGGAGGGAAGAAGGCCCTCTGACTTTTGAGCTGTCAGGATTCTTGTGCTGATTCTTTCTCATCTCTGTGGGCTGATGTTTCTTTAATCTTTTAAGTTGATGTCCTGTGGCTGAGCTTTATTTTATTTTATTCTATTTGATGGCCTTGAGGGTTTGGTTTTGGTACAAGGTGGGTTCAACTGACTGGTTTCATTTCTGGAATATTTTAGGAGGCTCAGGCTCAGCTCAGGACTCCCAAACTGCATGCTCTAACTCTGGGGGACTGGTTTCTGGCCCAGGCTTTGTCTCTGGCCCCTAAAGGTTAGGAACCTGCTGTGCTGGAAGGACCAAGATGATCCAAGACCACTGGTCACAACACTCTGATGGGTGGTGCCAGTCAAAGTGCTTCATAGGGCAGTGCCAGTGAGATCCATCCTGGTTCACACCTTCAGCAGCAGCAGCAGCAGTGGCAGCGAGGTGTGGTGCACATTCACTGGCTGCGGCAGGGAGCTAGTGGCTGCCAGCATGCTGGCCTCATTGTGGGCATTCATAGCAGCAACTGTGGCATCACGGTGCAGGGGTTGGGGGTGGGGGATGCTTGCCCCCTCCCCCACCCCTGTGTCTTTGTGTGCATTTGTGCCGGTGGCGGTGTTAGCATGGGAGTGAAGCACTGGTGAGCACAGGACTGTGTGAGTTCTCCTTGCACATTCACGTGGGTGGTAGTAGCCGCTCAGAACAGGGGTGGGTCCTCTGTTCTCGGTGCCTATTGTCACACTGGTGGTAGTGTCGGTGCAGGGGCAGGGCATTGGCAGGGACGGGGCTGGCGGGCTTCATGCCCACTCATCAATGCTCCAACAGTAATGGCAGTATGGTGGGGGGTCGAGAGGGTGAAGTGCACTCAGGATGGCAGCAGTAGCATGGCACACACACTGTGGCAGGAAAGGGGAGGCAAGGTCCACCCACACACACATGCAGTGGCAAAACGATGTGGGGGATGGCCGTGGGCTAGTGCATGCAGGCAAAGTGGAACGGGGAGACTGCAGTGGGGGCAGGGCACAGTTAGGCTGATGTGTGTACATGGGGGCCACTCTGCAGCAGATCTCTGCTGGTCAGGCACAGTCAGCCAGCACAGGAACTATGATGCAGGTCCTCAGGAGGTAGCCTCCACTGCACCCCGCTGTGAAGCTGCACTGCAAGCAGGTGTGGCCAGGCTGGGGCCCCAGGAGGGGCGAGCAGACTGAAGGATGCTCAGGTCAGACTGGCCCTGTCTCAGGGGCAAGAATGCCCTGCAGAGTTCAGGTCTGACAGTTCCCCTAGGGCTGAAGTCTCCTATGAGAACAAGTCTAGCCTAGGGCAATGGGTGTCCCTGACCATTCTCCACTACAGAGGCTCCCACACAAAACCTTCTGGGCTTTGCACAGTCTGGAGTTCTACCATTAACACTTTATAAGCAGGTCTTCCTGACAACTCAAGTGTCCCTGGTGGTTGTGGGGTCTCCTCCTGTCAGGATTTCAGGGACCTGCGACAAGAGGAGGTTGCCCCTTGCCTGTTCAACTCACCTCTCCTCCAGGAGATTTTGGGGACCTGGAATGAGTCCTGGTGCACGGTTGCCCCTTGCAGGGTTCCCGGCTTCCTCCCCCTTCAGCCCAACATCTGTGTCTTCCCTCTGTCTGCTCTCAAAGCCTTCCCTCTGAAGATCTGCCAGGAGCACACCAGTCTTCCCAATGTCCTGGTCCCTTGGTGGGAGCTGTTCCTCCTGGCTGTGTCTAGTCAGCCATCTTCCCTCATATTTTCTTCACACAAGTTAACAATGGTTATTTTCACATTGTAATTTCATCTATTAATTGACATTTAAGAGAAAACAAATCAGAATGTGTGATAATTTGCTAATATTTCTCCCAATGAGCACATATGTTTTGTTGTTTCCTTCAACAAAGACAGTGATAGCTCCACATCATTGTTCTGATTTTATCAGATCTATAGAAGGAAAACTCAAACTGTGATGAAGGCATTCAGTGAAGATCTAAATAAATGGAGAGTTGTTCTAAGTATATGGATAGAAAGACTCAATATTGTGAAGATGTCAGTTCTTTCAAATTTCATCTATAGATTAAAAGCAATCCCAATAGAAATCCCAGCAAGTTATCTAGTGGGTATTGACAAACTGATTCCAAAGTTTATATAAAAAGGCAAAAGATCCAGATTAGCCAACAAATGTTAAAGAAGAACAAGTTTGAAAGTCTTACACTGTATAGCTTCAAAATCTATGATAAAGTTATAGTGATCAAGACAGTGTGGTATTGGTGAAAGAATAAAAAAATAGATCAATGGAACATACCAGCGGGCCAAAAAATAGACCCACATGTACGTAGTGAACTGATCTCTGACACAGAAGCAAGGGCAATTCAAAAGAAAAGGTAGTCTTCTCAACAAATGGTGCTAGAATAACTGGTCATCCAACATGCAAAAATATAAATCTATACACAGAACTTACACCTGTCACAAAAATTAAGTCGAAATGGATCATAGACCTAAATGTAAAGTGCAAAACTATAAAACTTCTAGAAGACAACATAGGAAAATATTTAGTTGACCTTGATTTTGGTTATGACCTTAGGTACAACATCAAAATGCATGATTCATCAAGAAAAATTGATAAGTAGGAATTCATTAAAATTAAAACTTCCATTCTGTGTAAGACACTGTTAAGACAATAAAAAGACAAACCAAAGATTGGGAGAAAATCTTTGTATAACACTTATCCAATAGAAGACTAGTATCCAGAATACATAAAGAATCCTTAAAATTCAACAAGAAGAAAACAACACATTTAAGAATGAGTAAAAAATATGAACAAACATCTAATCCCAGAAGATATGCAGAATGACAAGCATATGAGAAGATGCTCCACATCATATGTCATTGGAGAAATGCAAATTGAGATAACAATGAGATACTACTACACACAAATTAGAATGGTGACATTCAAAATACTGACACCACCAAATGCTGGGGAGGATATGAGTCAACAGGAACTCCCATCCATTGTCGACAGGAATGCAATATAGTATAGCCACTTTAGATGACAGTTTGACAGTATCTTTCTTTTTTTTTTTTTTGAGACAGAGTCTCTCTCTATTGCCAGGTTGGAGTGCAGTGGTGCGATCTCAGCTCACTGCAACCTCCGCCTCCTGGATTCAAGCAATTCTCCTGCTTCAGCCTCCCAAGTAGCTGAGACTACAGGTGCGTGCCACCACGCCCAGCTAATTTTTGTATTTTTAGTAGAGATGGGATTTCACCATGTTGGCCAGGATGGTCTCGATATCTTGACCTCGTGATCCCCCCGCCTGGGCCTCCCAGAGTGCAGGGATTACAGGCGTGAGCCACCACGCCCGGCCGACAGTATCTTACAAAACTAAACATACTCTTACCACATGTTTCAGCAATTGCAGTTCTTGGTACTTACCCAAAGAGATTGAAAACAAAGATATGTTCAACAAAAACTTGCACACAGATGGTTATAGCAGGTTTGTCCATAATTGCCAAAACTTGGAAGATGACTTTTAATAGCTAAATGGATAAATAACCTGTGGTACATCCAGACAACCAAATATTATGCAGTGATAAATAGAAATGAGCTAGCAGAGACATGTAAAGACATTGAGGAAACTTAGATATATGTTGTTAAGTGAAAGAAGTCAATCCAAAAAGGCTACATACTTTAGGACCTCTGGGGGAAGGGAGGGATGAATAGGTGGAGCAGAGAGGATTTTTTGGGCGGTGAAGGTATTCTGTATGATACTGTAATGATGGATACACGTCATTGTGGGTTTCTCATAAGCTATAGAATGTAAAACACAAAGAGTGATCCCTAATGTAAACTATGGTCTTAATAATAGTGTATTAGTATTGGCTCATCAATTGTAACAAATGTACCAGGAGATGTTAATAGTAGGGGAAATTCCTGCAAGAATTGCCCACTCCCACCCTCTCATTTCACAGATGAAGTCCCGTGACCCAGAAGTGCAAAGCCATCTGTTGCTGCTCCCATCCTATTGGAGACATAGCCCTGACTCTTCCTCTGAGTTGGGGTCCAGGGCTCTTTCTGCTCCTCTAAATAGCCACCTCAGCAGAGCCTCCTGGCAAGTAGGATTTAGTCTACACCAGGCTTCCTGCATGCCACTATTTACTTTCCTAATGAAGACAGAAAACGAGGTGTGAAGGCAGCAGCATGTTAGATTTTTCAGTTCTAATGGGAAGAATAAAAACCTCACTATGATGCACTAAAGAGCCATTAGTGAAAACAGTTTTAAGTCCCTACCTCAATTCCCAAGAAAGCTGATGGAGAAAAACGGCAGCTTCAACATTTGCACTTTGACTTGCCTCTCTCCATGGGAACTTCAGATTTCCTTCCTACAGCTAACACAATCCTAAATTTCTAGTGTGGCTTTCAGGGATTACCAAAGACAGAATGTTGAATGCATTGTATGGTTTCTGTCTTCAGTCATAGGAACCATTCTTTGCTCTAGGAGTAGCAATGAGATCCAAATCCAGGAAATATGGCAATATCTTCGATTTACATCATTAGCCCTCAGTATTTTTTTTTTTTTGAGACTAGAAGCAGAAGGCTGCTTCATGCCTGGCTGCCTATCAAAAGAAGCAATTTTCATAAATCTATAGCTCTGAACAATGAAAACGGTTCCTTTCACCTCTGCTGAATCAGTGTCTGGAGCATCAGGGACAGGGGAAAAGTTCTAACATTAGCTTTTTTCTTCTACCTGCTGCTAATCAGAGTGCAAGCGAGAAGTTGTATTCTTCTCAGGGCCAGTAAAGCAGGGAAAGAAATCACTAGTGCTCCTCCCCAGTCTGAGGATCAAATAAACAGCCTTTTTTATCATCCAGCTGCTAGGGGTATGGCTTGAGCTACAGACAGCTCATTAGAAAGAACCACAAAGTTAGAAATTTGGCCTTTGGGGGGAAAATGTCATTCTTCAAATTCCCTGTCTTGTGTTCTTTAACTAAGTACATATCCTTTTTAGGGGCCAGATGGGATGGGGAGACCTGTTTTGAACCTTAAGACAATAATAAGAGCTTAGATATTTACTGAAGGAATGAAATGGTTTGTCTGAAAGTTGCCCAGTTTCACAACTGTTGTTCCATAAAACCAAAGAGAACGATGCTTGCCACGTGGGTAAAAGCTGACTTTAGTTGACATCTCTTCCTTCATTCTTTTTCAGCTCACACATTCCTCCCCATTCTCTGAATTCCCACAAAGACTGTTATTGCTGGGGCTCATAAAATTATACCCCAAAGTATGATGCTTTGGCATCCAGAGTGCTTTGAACTATAGGAGATTGAAGGCCCCAGAAGCCAAGTTTCCCTCTGACCTTCTCCTGCCTTCCTGTCTTCCACCCCCTGCTTTTCCCCTGAAGTGAGTCCTGGAAGCCAGAATTCTTCTTGCCCAAAGCAAGCCGTGACACCCTGGAAATATCACTCTAACCTTCCTTGCCTTTCCGTGTGGCAGCTGGCCATGAAGAAATTCTCTGACCTACCTTGTTTGATAGCAGATCACAAGACCCTGGTTCCAGAGCGGTCCTGCTTTACACCGAGGGAAAGGAATGTCATACAGAAAGGCCAAGAAGAATCTGAAGAGATGTCCAATCACCTTTGCACGTGGCTGCCCATTCTTCATTGAACCTAAGCATTAAAATAGACAGTTTCCCCTGGGTCTTTGGGTCTTCATTTCTGAAGACTCCATGTCATGTAAAACTTTGATTAAATAAATGTATCATGCATTACTTTTGCTAACCTGTCTTTTGTTATAGGAGTGTCGCCTGTGACCTTTATGATGGGTAAGGAAAGATTTCACATCTTTTCTACCCCTACATTATCATACTGTGAAATTTTATTATATGCTGTCTTGCCCTCATAGAAAGAGAATTTTGGAGTTTGAAAGAATCCTGCTAATCATGAAATCTGGTCCTTTATTTAACAGAAAAATTCCCAGAGACATGAAATGATTAGTACTGTTTCACAGAGAAGCAGAGGGAGAGCCAGACCCTCAGTCAGTCCAGGCTCTGCTGTCTTTGGAGGTGGGGTTTCAGGTCTCCCCAGCAGGGTTGTGAGGTCCCAAAGAACGGGAGGCAGGCCTTGGGCCATAGTCTCCTGCATCCCTCCAGAGCCTGCAGCAGGAGCTGGGCCCAAGGATGCTGCGGAGTGAGTCCACATCATTGACATACACTGCTCTGGAAGCACCATTCCGGCAGACTAGCCCTCTTCTTCCCACGTAATCCAGGAAGGTTGTTATAGATAGTCCAGATTTTTCTAGATAATCTTGTAACATATTCACATTCAACATACATACAAAAATTCACACTTGGTATGGGTAGGAGAACTGTGCAGACTTCAGTAGAATTTATTTATTAAAGCTTTCTGTAGACGGTCATTTAAGGCCAGCAAAATGTTTTCGATCTCAGGGGTTAAATGGATTCAAAACAGAAATCAGTAAAGCTGTCATTGCAGATTTCTGTAATAGAGAGGCAAGTATAACAATTGATTAAGAACTCTATCCCTTTATATCTATAGAACATATAAGGCCCCTGGATACCCCTGGACCTCAACGCTCCACATTCCCCATTTCAGAAATCCAGGAGGACGTGTGGCACCGTGAGGGGACCACAGAGACCCTGTCTCTCCTGTCTAGTCTATGCATCTTCACTCGCCTGGCCCCCACTTCACAGAACACAGAACAGGCATTCTTGCTCCAAAATCCCTTGCTCATTCGCTGCCCCTATCCTGCTGCTTACCCAGATTTTAACCCATGAGTCACCCCACACCCTCCTGACATCTGCTTTTCTCAGGACATGGAAAATACGGACTTGGGATTTGAGCATTTTCTATGCACAGGAAAACTGAAATTGAGATTCAGGAAAGCTACTTCCTGAATTTGATAATTTAGGTGTGGATTAAGATTGTAGGTGTTATCTTGAGAGGGCCCCAAGCAAGTTTCAGATGTACATTTTTTTTGAGAAAATGTGTGAGAGGCTATTTTGCTCTCAGTTCTCTGCTATTGTTAGGACCCCTAGTATTTACCTGCCCGCTTGCACTGTAACTCCAAAGGAAGCTTTCACCTAAAGCTTGGGAGAAATGATCTGCTAATAATCCATCACTGTGGTTTTTATCATGTTTCCCACCGTTTTCTCTTTTATGAGCAGTTCTTCTAATATTAGCATTTTCTTCTTCAAGCATCACTACCATAACAATATTATCAGACACTTTGGGAACATTTGTGGTGCATGTTTTTGTTGTTGTTGTTGTTTGTTTTTGTTTTTTGTTTTTTGAGACGGAGTCTGGCGTCTCCTCTGTTACCCAGGCTGGAGTGCAGTGGCGCGATCTCGGCTCACTGCAAGCTCCGCCTCCCGGGTTCATGCCTTTCTCCTGCCTCAGCCTCCCGAGTAGCTGGGACTACAGGCGCCCGCCACTCCACCCGACTAATTGTTCGTATTTTTAGTAGAGACGGGGTTTCACCGTGTTAGCCAGGATGGTCTCGATCTCCTGACCTCGTAATCTGCCCGCCTCGGCCTCCCGAAGTGCTGGGATTAGTGAGCAACCGCACCTGGCCTTGTGGTGTGTTTTTATTCAACCCAGAAAGAATTTTATTGCCAGCATTATTTGTATGTATTAATAATTTACTGAGAAACTGTGTCAGATATAGGTATATGCAAAGTTCCTAATGACAGTAGAAAACTAGAAATATGGGAAAAGTTTGAGCTTGAAATATGAAAATTAGAATGATGTACTTAATTAAATAAAAGAAATATTTGCAGATACGCTTGGACCAAGACTGATAATTAAAACACAGTACAATTTATTTCAAAATTAAAATGTTGATTATTTATTTTCTTAGGGGACAGGTATACATGTTCTTAAATAGTCAGAAACTAAATACACTCTTCAAATGTTGAGAAATAAGTAGTAAAATTTTTTATAAAAAGAAATAGCATGCCCACCTAGATTACTATTAATGAACACTCTTTTAGTTTTTGAATGAAACATTATCTTAGCATAGAAGTTTAAGAAAACAAAGATTTTTTAAAGTCACTATACTATGACATGTCCACAAAAATGTTTAGTAGATAGTTCCTCAGAAGTAATTTTCATAGATGAATAAAATGATGACTGTGCATATTCTTTTCGGTGGTCTTTGTAGATGTGTTAATTCACAGGCAGTAAAAGAGAAAAGTTAACAAATGCAAAGCATGAGAATCCCACATTTTAGTTTATACTGATTCTCATTAATTTATCCAATGGTAATTCATTTTTCTTTTCCTTTTTTTTTTTTTTTTTAGACGGAGTCTCGCTTTGTCGCCCGGGCTGGAGTGCAGTGGCGCGATCTTGGCTCACTGCAAGCACCGCCTCCCGGGTTCACGCCATTCTCCTGCCTCAGTCTCCTGAGTAGCTGAGACTACAGGCGCCCACCATCATGCCCGGCTAATTTTTTGTATTTTTAATAGAGATGGGGTTTCACCGTGTTAGCCAGGATAGTCTCGATCTCCTTTCCTCGTGATTCACCCACCTCGGCCTCCCCAAGTTCTGGGATTACAGGCGTGAGCCACTGCACCCAGCCGGTAATTCATTTTTCATAATTGTTGCTTACAGATTCTAACCCCAGTTCCCATTACCCATCCTGTCTCACACACAATAAAGTGTCATGTCTGAGTCACTAAATGTCTGCGTTGGAGTGAGTTTGAATTGTCTTTAATGTCAGACTCACTTCAGAGGAGGTGTGGTTTTCTTGCTTTTTTGTTTTTTCACCTCTGTAGGACTTTTCCAAGTGGCTCCGGGTCAGTGAAAAGTTATTAAGAGCAGCTTCTACTTCTGCCCTAATTAAAAATTGTGCAAAACAAAAAAATACATCTTTTTGACACATTTTTTTCTGAAGTAACCTCATATATTTTTCCTTCAAAAATTGAAATCAAAAGGGAAAATAAATATACAATTTTAATTTCTGATACTGGCATAGTGTTTGTATCTGACTGTCTTCATGGAGCAAAAGTCATGGAGATAAAAAATAGAAACTTCACAATTATTCAGTTATTTTGTTTATTGTTAAGTTTAAATCCTATTTGATTTAGCATTTTATTTTCTATAAATGTTTAAATAAACATTTTATAGAAAAGCCCAATCACTACCACCTCCTCAAATCACTCAGGTTGCCTCTAACCTGAGTGTAAATGGAAAGCAATTATATTATTTATCTGCTTTTACTTACTCATATTTAAGTGCTGGTATTTGTGCTTTAGGTCAAATAATATAAGATTTTCCCATAGAAATGATGGCAACTTAATAATTAAAATTTTAAAGCATCTTACGGAGAACTATTTTTAGACAATATATCATTTGTTCATACCATGACTTAATCTCTTGATGATAATTTTTTTTTGAGACGAAGTCTCTCTGTCGCCCAGGCTGGAGTGCAGTGGTGCAATCTCAGCTCACTGCAACCTCCACCTCCCGGATTCAAGCGATTCTCCTGTCTCAGCCTCCCGAGTAGCTGGGACTACAGACGCCTGCCACCACGCCTAGCTAATTTTTGTATTTTTTTAGTAGAGACAGGGTTTCACCATATTGGCCAGGCTGGTCTCGAACTCCTGACCTCGTGATCTGCCCACCTCGGTCTCCCAAAGTGCTGGGATTACAGGCGTGAGCCACCGAGCCCGGCCTGATAATTTTATTTAACTTTTAACTTCAGTGTTACATGTACAGGTTTATTACATAGGGAAACTTGTGTCATGGGTGTTTGTTGTACAGACTATTTCATCACCCAGGTATTAAGCCTAGTACCCATTAGTTATTTTTCCTGAATCTCTCCCTCCTCCCACACTCCACCCTCTGAGAGGCCCCAGTGTGTGTTGCTCCCCTCTATGTGTCCATGTGTTATCATCATTTAGCTCCCACTTATAAGTGACAACATGCGGTATTTGGTTTTCTGTTTCTGGGTTAGTTTGCTAAGGATAATGGCCTCTAGCTCCATCGATGTTGCTGAAGAGGACATGATCCTCCTCTTTGTTCTGGCTGCATAGTATTCCATGGTGTATATGTACCACATTTTCTTTATTCAGCCTGTATGATAAATATTATTTTTTAAAAAATCTTGAGTTCTAAATTCTCCCACTCAGTCATAAAGACAAGTATGAATAAATTACTATTTGGTAGTATAATGAAGGTTATAAGGAACATTTTAAAGTAATTTTTCAGAACTGTTTTAGACTATGCTGTTAGGAAATTGTAGTCTCTCTCAAATTTAACAGGCATTTAACCAAGCACATTTTTATAATTTGGACATGAAGATTTTTTCCAGGAGCAGTAATGTAGACTCTAATAACATGAGAGCAAGCATGAGAACAGTATGTAAAGCCAAAGTCACCATCTCTCCTCCTACCCCCTCTTGGTGATTATTCTTAATTTCAGAGTCAAAAATGACTGCCATCTTTGCAGTTGAGAAGCCTAAAAGACATTCCTGACTCTTCTGTCTTCCTCACATTCATGTCTACTTAATCAAGTCAATTTTATCTCTAGAATTTATCTGTATTAACCACCATCAACTCCCTGGGCACAGTGACACCATCATGTGGCCAGCTGATCTCGCCCAGCTACTCTTGATGCTGGTATTAGTCTGTTCTCACACTGCTATAAAGAACTACCCGAGACTGGGTAATTTATGAAGAAAAGAGGTTTAATTGACTCACAGTTCCACAGGCTGTACAGAAAGCATAGTTGGAGAGGACTCAGAAAATTTACAATCATGGCTGAAGGCCAAAGGGAAGCAACCACATCTTCACATGGCTGGCAGAAGGGAGAGAGAGAGCCAAGGGAGAGGTGCTGCCCGCTTTCACACAACCAGATCTCGTGAGAACTCACTCACTATCATGAAAACAGCAAGGAGAGATCTGCCTCCATAGTCCAATAACCTCCCACCAGGTTCCTCCTCCAATATTGGGGACTACAATTCAATATGAGATTTGGGTGGGAACACAGAGCCAAACCATATCAGACCCCTTCCTGTCTATTATCCCCAGTGTATCCACAGTTCTCTTTGAGATGGAAGTCTGATCATGTCATCCACAGGTCAAAATGGTGTTAATGGCTTCCCATTATCTCGGTGGTGTCAAGGACTTCTGGTTATTCCAATGCCTAGGAGATAAAGTCCAAAGACTCAGCTAGGCCTCTAAAATCCTGTATGGTCTTTCTGTGTCCCCCCAAGTCACCATGCACAGGGCTCCCCACTCTGCTCACTGTGCCACACCAGCCTTCACTCAGGCCCCCAACACTCCTTGCTCTCCTGCCACAGCGATTTCACATAAGCCATTTCTACTTTCTGAATTGCTCTTCTCACTACAAAAACTCTCACATTAATTTTTTCATCCTGCAGGTCCCAGCTCAAATGTCATTCCTCAGAGAAGCAATCCTGACTCCCTAGAGTAAGTCAGGTTCTGCTATTTTATGCTTCCAATGAATCATATGTCTTTTTAAAATCACTAATCACAGCTTTAATTTTGCCAATATTTGTGTATTTGATTAAAGTAGCTCTCCCCAAATAGACTATATGTTCCTTGAGGTCAAATTTATATCTGATTTGCTCACCTCTTTACCCCCAGCTCCACACCCAGTCCAAAACATTTGTTGGGAGAATAAATAAATAATGGTTGAACACTTTTGTGAGTTGAGACCTTCTTGGTAAAGGGAACATAGGCGTGAGCTGAAGTCATTGCTCCCAAAGGGCTCTATTCCAATATAGGGAGACTATTTCAAACAAAAACATAAATGTGTTATAGGTCAATTGAGAAGAAAAGGCAGGTCCACAGGTAAGAGAGTAACCCATGGGTAGAAGAAATTCAGCTTTACCCTGACTGGTCATAGAAGGTGTTCCCGAGAAGCTATCTGAGAATTTTACCAGCCAGGTATTAGACATATCCTTTGTAATAAAAGCCATGGTGAGAGAATTTACACAATAGAAATCAGCAAATGCTACAAATCAGGGGTTTCATTCCTTTTGTTTTAGAGAGCCCATTTAGCTTCACACTACAAGTCTCATTCTTTAAAAATCAGTCCTTTATTTTCAGTTAAGATTTACATATGTTGGGAGTAAGATGCCAGCACATATCCAAATAGATATGTCCACTATAACTATTTTAGTAATGGTGACAAGAAAATGTATCTTGGTCAACTATGGTTACAGGTAGAACAATTTCTCCCCTTAATATTTATCTAAAAAAAACCTTTTATTAACAGGCTTGATGAGGTTAAAATTTATGTAAAATTAACTGCACACGTATAAAGTATACAATTTAACAAGCATAGGCACATACATACATCCATGAAACCAACACCACTCTCAAGGAGGGGAACTCATCCACCACACTCTCAAGTTTCCTTTGTCCTTTGGCAATGCTTGTTTTTGTAATCACTTTGTACCCACTCCTTCTTAGGCAACTGTTTATTTCTTTTCTGTCACCGTAGATTGGTTCGAATTTTCTAGAATTTCATAGAAATACAATTTTTACAGTATATACTCTTTTTTCCTGCCTTTTTTCACTCACCGTATTTATTTATTTTATTTAATTAATTTATTTTTTTGAGATGGAGTCTCGCTCTGTCGCCCAGGCTGGAGTGCAGTGGCACGATCTCGGCTCACTGCAAGCTCTGCCTCCCAGGTTCATGCCATTCTCCTGCCTCAGCCTCCTGAGTAGCTGGACTACAGGTGCCTGCCACCACGCCCGACTAATTTTTTGTATTTTTAGTAAAGACGGGGTTTCACCATGTGTAAACCAGGATGGTCTCAATCTCCTGACCTTGTGGTCTGCCCGCCTTGGCCTCCCAAAGTGATGGGATTACAGGCATGAGCCACCACACCTGGCCACCATATTTATTTTGAAATTAACTCATTTGCATTAATAGTTCATTCCTTTTAAATATTGGATTACTATTCCATTGGACGGTTATACTACAAGCATTTATCTATTCAACAGTTGATGAACATCTAGGCTCATTTCTTACTATTAAAAATAAAGCTGCCATAAACATTTGTGTACAAATAGTTCTGTGGACATTTGTATTTATTAGGCTTTTTTATTCTGTAGTATTAATGCTTTGACATCTTGGTGCCTTACTGACTCACTGATAAACTTTTTCTTCAATAGGAATGTAACCAAGTGAGTAATTAAGACAAAATGTGAAAGCAGTTTAATATTTGTCTAGTCTTACACAAGAATTTTTCTGTCTCATTTTTCAACTATAAGAAAAAGTACTAAAGATTAATTTATTCAAAATTTGGAACTTTCTCCCTTATTTTTGCCAAAATATCACACTGAAGGATTTTGTTGTTGTTATAAATGTTGAGAGGTATGCATTTTTGTATTCCTATGAAATGTCATAGATATGAAATACTACATTCTAGGGAATATTTTAAAACAAAATATGACAGCTTTTCTAGCATTAACTATTAATGGCTATAAAAAATTAGCATTATCTTTGTGCTTGGCTGCTCAGCTTTGTGTTGAGATAAACTACATGTTAGGTAGGAATGACAGCCAACTTACAATTAACATTTTTCATATATATTTGCTCAAGGGTATATTTTACCAAAAATTGTAATAATGCTTTTAATGTAGGTTTCAATTTTCTTCCAAAATGAACTAAAAGGATTTTTTTTCTGGTAATCAGAAAAAGAGAATGTGATAAGTTTCATTTATATTGAGTAATAAATTATAGTAGGCAGGTGTTTGCTTGCTATCTGTCCTTCATTGACACATTAGTCAATGGATTCATGCATAGTAAATTATCAGTTAATGTATTCTGGCCCACAACATACTCAAAATGCTTTAGACTGTGAAGATTCTTTCTATATAACCTTAAAAAAGCCCTAGTTTAGGAGAAAAGGTACATGCCTTGGGCATGGCATTATATTCATAAAGAGTTGTGATTTTTTAAAAAACTCCCTTTTTATGAAATTATTTTCTCTACTAAACTGTTATGAAAATGCTACCATTTTAACTAGAGAAAGAAAATCCAAATTTGAGAGAATGGACTATTTTTTATTCAGTTTACTTAAAATCTGCCCAAGATTTCTGAAACTTAGCTCAAATGACAAATTAAACCTAATACAAAAGGGCAGATTCAAGGGCATGAAGGATGAAGTACATGGGCCTTGAAGTCAGGAAAACCAAGCGTCTAACAGGCTTTTGCCAACAAATTGGGTAACATTAGAATGAGACATGTAGTGTAGTGGTGTGACCATGGTTCTCTGCAGCCTTGACCACCTGGACTCAAGCGATCCTTCTGCCTCAGCCTCTCGAGTAGTTGGAACTATAGGCATACACCACCATGCCTGGCTAACTTTTTAAAAATTTTTTTGTAGAGACAGGGTCTCGCTTTATTGCCCAGGTTGGTCTTGAACTCCTGGGCTCACACAATCCTTCCACCTCGTCCTCGCAAAGTGTTGGGATTACAGGCGTGAGCCACTGCACCTGGCCTGAGGTAGGTTTTTGTTTGTTTGTTTGTTTTGAGACGGAGTCTCGCTCTGTCGCCCAGGCTGGAGTGCAGTGGCACGATCTCGGCTCACTGCAAGCTCCGCCTCCTGGGTTCACGCCATTCTCCTGCCTCAGCCTCCGGAGTAGCTGGGACTACAGGCTCCCGCCACCACGCCCGGCTAATTTTTTGTATTTTTGGTAGAGACGGGGTTTCACCGTGTTAACCAGGATAGTCTCGATCTCCTGACCTCGTGATCCGCCCGTCTCGGCCTCCCAAAGTGCTGGGATTACAGGCGTGAGCCACTGCGTCCAGCCTGGCCTGAGGTATATTTTTAAAAATAATTGATCACCATAATGTAGAGCCTAATTAACGTGCTGTCTGCTATAATCCATATGGATTGCAGGCATTTCTCTGCTAAAATGTGCTAAAGTGAGCCAGAGCAAGCAGCGGCTCCTGCCTGCTGGAGGATCAGTCCCTGCCCTCTGTCTCTATGCCAGGCCGGAGCTAGCTCCTGCTGCTCTCACAGCCAGGTGACAACCCCATTTGCTGGAACCAACATGCAAATAAGTCGTTTTATTCAGTCTACCAACTCTGCCACAGAAAATAAAAAGTTTATACTGTGTTCTTTCAGAATATGATTTTCTAAATTAATTCAACAGGAAATAAATAACAGAAATAGTTTACCACAAGTAATACCCTATAGTGACATTTGTTGTTGCACAGTCTCTATTATCTCTTAGAACCAAAAATACCCAGATATTGTGACCTAAAATCTAATCTTTCAAGATGCTTCAATAAAAGAATTAGCAATGGTCAAGTAAATGTAGTAACTGCTGCATTTCTACATTATTTTTGGAGATTTTAAATGTTTACCAGGTTAAGGGTTCAAAGAAGACTTCTGTTTCAAATTAGCGTTTACCAGATGTAATTGACTGTGGACATGTTTTTACATAAAATTTATTAGCACACACATGGTAGAATTAGTTCAGAAGAAAAGCACATCTGTCAGTAAATGTTCAGTACAAGCAGGCCAAATATGAAATATCTCATTTTATATCCAAACCTCTAGAATCAGTTAAAATCTGGAACTTGCTCATTTAGTCGCTTTAATAACTTTTTAAAGGTCTACATTTTTTTTTAGAATTGCATCTATCACCTGGTGACTTTTGAAATCATTTTATACATTTTATATTTTAAAAATATGAGACCATTTATTGTTTTTACCTACAGACCATGACATTCAATGTTGCCTATGGCTGATCACCCACCCACTCCATCCCCACCATTAACTGTCCTGGCCTCTTTGTCACTCTGTATTCTATATATTGGAGATCTATATCCATTATTTCAGTTTCCTGAACCCACTGAGTTCTTCCATCAATTGCCATTTCCTCTGCTTGGAATGTGTTAATTCCCTCTCTCTTTACAGGATGGGCTTCTATAAAGCCATCCATAAACCAGCATCATAAGACAGAATTTGAATTTTCAGTGTGACATCAGCATGATGGTGAAATAGGCATTTTCAGCACTCATCTCACAGAAAAATCAATTTGAACAACCATCCATGAATGAAAATACCTTTGCAAGAGCTAAGGAATCCAGGTCAGAGATTACAGCACCTGGATAGAGTATAGAAATAAGAAACGGCACATTGAATAAGGTAAGAAGGACAGTATTGCATTACCCGTGTGACATCTACCCCAAGTTTGCACATCACAGTAGAGAGAGAGATACCTTTTGCATAGGGAAAGGAAAGTGAAGTGAGTGCCTGACTCTCACATGGATTTTGGCACCAGACTCCTACCAGTGAATCTTGGCACAAAGCCGGTCCCATTGTTCCAGGCTACAGACCCACCTTCATGGTCTCAGGCACCAGACCTGTTCCCATGGAATCAGGTACCAGTGTGCCCTAATACCAGTGTGACTAATGCCAGACTGATCCCTGTGGTCTCAATATGTGGCTCATTTTCATAGACTTAGCTTCCAGACTCACCCCAGCACCAGTTCAGCTTCCAGGTTCGCCCCAGCACCAGGTCAACCTTTGCATCCCCAAGCTGCAGGCCAATACCTGCACCAGGTTAGCCTCTGTGGCCCCAAGATCTAGACCAGCCCTTGTGGCCTCCAGGCCCCAGGCCAGCTCACATGACCTCAGGCAACAGGCCCATCCAGAGCCATGCTGGCACCCACACCTTCAAGCTCCAGGATGGCCCCTGCAGCTCTAGGCTCCAGCATAAGGTCAACCCCTATGGACCCAATTCCAGGCCTGTTTTCATGGTCTTAGGTACTAGGCTTTTCCCAATGGAATCAGATATGAGGCCTGTCTCAGTTGACCCTAGGGCCAGGCTGCTGCCATAGATTCTATACTGAACCCAGCCTCATAAACTCAGGTTCTGGGCCCACCCAGTACCAGAATAGCCCCTATGAACTCAGGCTCAAGGACCTTCCCAGTGCCAGATTGGCCTTATGGACTCAGGCTCCAGGCCTATCCCTGAAGACCAAGTCTACTCTCGTGGGCTCTGGTACCAGGCCAGTCACCTCAGACCCAGGAGCCAGTCCACACCCACAGACCCAGGATCCAGACCCACCCATGTAGACCCATGCTCATAGTCCACTGAGTGGACTGGGGCTATAGGCCTGCCCCCACAGGCCAAGGCACCAGGCCAACCGTTGCGGACTCAAGAGCCAGGCCCACATGCCCACTGACCTAGGCACCAGGCCAGCCCCCTAAAATAATCCCACCCATGGACCATGCCAGTTGGCCTTCCCAGAATCTCCGGACAAGCTGACTGGTAAAAGGATTTCCCACTGAAGTGTCTGTAAATACTGTAAGAGGTGCCTACTTCTTCAAATATGAATACACCAAGGCAAAGCCACAAGGAACATAAATAATCCGGGAAACATGACATCACAAAAAGAATGTAATACCCATAACCAATCTAAAGAAATGGAGATCTATGAACTTCCTGAAGAAGAATTCAAACTAATTGGCTTGAAGAAGCTCAATGAACTACACAAGAAGACACAGCCAACCAAACAAAATCAGGAAAACAATGTGTGAATAAAATGAAAAGTTTGACAGAGAGAAAACATAAAAAATAACCAAACAGAAATTCTGAAGCTGAAGAACATAATGACTGAACTGAAAAATTTCAGAGATCTTCAACAGCAAACTTGATAAAGCAGCAGAAAGAGGCAGTGACCTCAAACACTGCTTATTTGAAATTAACCAGTCAGAGGAACAAAAGAAAAAAAGAATGAAAAGAGTGAAGAAGACCGACAGGATTTATGGGCCACCATCAAGCAAACCTAATATGCATTAAGAAAGTCCTAGAAGGAACAGAGAAAGAGAAAGAGGAAAAAGGCTTCTTTAAGAAAATAACAGAAAATTTCCCAAATCTGGAGAAGTATATGAAAATCCAGACCAATGAGTTCAAAGAATTTCAAATAGATTAAACATAAAGAGATCATCACCAAGACACTGTATAATCAAGTTGAAAACTTTTCCTTTAACATCAGGAACAAGACAAGGATGCCCACTCTTACCGCTTTTATTCAACATACAAATGGGTGTCCTAGTCAACAAGAAAAAGAAATAAAAGGTATCCAGCTTGGAAAGAAAGAAGTTAAATTGTCTCTCTTTGCAGATGACATGATCTAATATATAAAAATCCCTAACACATACTTAGAAGTAAATTTAATAAATAAATTTAAAAATTAAAAAAGTAAATTTAATCAATAAGGTAAAAGGTATGTACACTGAAAACTATAAAATATTGATGGAAGAAATAAGACACAAATAAATGAAACAATATCCTGTGATAATGGATTGAAAGAATTAATATTGTCAAAATGTTCATACTACTCACCATGATCTACAGATTCAATGAAATATTTATCTAACTTCCAACAGCATTTTTCACAGAAATACAAATAACAATGTTAAAACTTACATGGAGGCCGGGCGCAGTGGCTCACGCCTGTAATCTCAGCAATTTGGGAGGCCAAGGCAGGCGGGTCACCTAAGGTCAGGAGTTCGAGACCAGCCTGCCCAACATGAAGAAACCCTGTCTCTACTAAAAAACAAAATCAGCCAGGCATAGTGGCGCATGCCTGTGATCCCAGCTACTCAGGAGGCTGAGGCAGGAGATTTGCTTGAACCCAGGAGGCTGAGGTTGCAGTGAGCAGAGGTTGCACCATTGCACTCCAGCCTGGGCAACAAGAGCGAAACTCCACCTCAAAAAAAAAAAAAAAAAACTTATACGGAACCACAAAAGATCCCAAATAACCAAAGCAATTTTAAGCAAGAAGAACAAAACTGAATGAATTATATTACCTAATTTTATAATATATTACAGAGTTATAGCCATCAAACACGATGGTATTGGCATGCATCAAAGGTATAGACCATTTAACAGAACAGAGAGCTCAGAAATAAATCCATACAATTACAGTAAATTGATCTTTAACAAAGGTGCTAAGAACCCAGAATGGAAAACATAGTCTCTTTAGCAAAAGGTGTAGGAAAAACTGGATATCTACATGCAGAAGAATGAAATTGGACCCTTGTCTCACACCACACGCAAAAATCAACTCAAAATGGATTAAAAATTTAACACCTAACAATGTAAAAATACTGGGGGAAAACCTTCGTAACATTATTCTGTGGAATAAATTTTTGGATACGACTCCAAAAGCACAGGCAACAAAAGCAAAAATAGACAAATGGGATTACATCAAACCAAAACACTTCTTCATAGCAAAGGCGATAATCAACAAAGTGAAGAAACAACTTATAGAATGGGAGAAAATATTTGCGAGCCATACATTTGGTAAGGGGTCAGTATCCAACATACATACTAAAATCATACAACTCAATTTCAAGAAAACAAATAACCCAGTTTTTAAAATGGGCAAGGGACTTAAGTAGACATTTCTCCAAAGAATATATCTATTTGGCCAACAAATGTATGAAAAAATTTTATAATATATTTGTATTATATCAATATCAATATATTGATATATCAAAATCACTAGTCATCAGAAAAAAATGTAAATCAAACCACAGCGAGGTGTAATTTCATACATCTAGAATGGCTATCATAAAAAAGATTAAAGATAAGTGTTGATGAAGGTGTGGAGAAATGGGAACCCTTGTACACTGTTGGTGAGAATGTTACTTAGTACCCCTATTATGGAAAACAGTGTAGGTTTCTGTGATGACTGGTTCTTCCAAAACAGCTTTCTAAAAAAATTAAAAATAAACTACCATATCATTAAGCAATACCACTAGTGGTTATATATCCAATGGAAATGAAATCACTATCTCGAAGAGATAACTGCACTCCCATATTCAATACAACATTATTCATAATAGTTAAAATATGGAAACAACCTGAGTGTCTGTCAACAAGTCACTGGATAAATAAAATGTAGTATTTGTGTACCATGGAATATGATTCAGTCTTGGAAAAGAAGGAAATCCTCTCATTTGTGACAATGGATGAAGCTGGAGGACATTATAGTGAGTGAATTAAACCAGGCACAGAAACACAAATACTGAATGATCTTACTTATAGATGCAATCTAAAAAGGAAAAAAAAAAAAAGTGAAACCTACAGATGTAGACAGTAGGATGATAGTTACCAGGGGACAGAAGATGGGAAAAATGGGGAGATGTTGGCTAAAGGGTACAAAGTTTCTGTTATACAGGATAAATAATTTCTGGAGATTTTATTTACAGCATGGTGACTATAGTTAATACTGTATTATATACTTGGAATCTGCTGAAAGCAGTTCTCAGATGTTCTCACCACACACACACACACACACGCACACCACACACACAAATGGTGACTATTTGAGGTGATGCATATGTTCATTAGCTTGGTAGTGGTATCATTTCACAATGTATATGTGTATCAAAACATCAGATTGTATACCTTTTTTGATGTTTGTTTTGTTTTGAAACAGAGTCTCACTTTTGTTGCCCAGGCTGGAGTGCAGTGGTGAGATCTTGGCTCACTGCAACCTCCCCCTCCTGGGTTCAAGCAATTCTGCCTCAGCCTCCTGAGTAGCTGGGATTACAGACACCCACCACCACGACCAGCTAATTTTTGTATTTTTAGTAGAGACGCGGTTTCACCATGCTGGCCAGGGTGGTCTCGAACTCCTGACCTGGGGTGATTCGCCAGCCTTGGCCCCCCAAAGTGCTGGGATTACAGGCGTGAGCCACCGTGCCAGGCCTGTATACCTTAAATATACACAATTCTGTTTACATGCCCCTGGCTCTGCTTTCTTGGACACAAGCTGCCTGACTCTAGGAAGATGCCAACACCTTGTCCATAGTCTCACTACAACCATTTCCTTACAGCACTGAAAATCATTTACACTTGCTTGTTTACCAAGTTGTTTCCTTGTTATTGTCTCTCCTTCACTGGATAAATAACTTTTTTTTTTTTTGAGATGGAGTCTCGCTCTTGTCACCCAGGGTGGAGTGCAATGGCACAATCTTGGCTCACTGCAACCTCTGCCTCCCGGGTTCAAGAGGTTCTCATGTCTCAGCCTCCCAAGTAGCTGGGATTACAGGCGCCTGCTACCACATCCGGCCAGTTTTTTGTATTTTTAGTAGAGACAGGGTTTCATCACGTTGGCCAGGCTGGTCTTGAACTCCTGACCTGAAGTGATCTGCCCACCTTGGCCTCCCAAAGTGCTAGGGACTGTAGGTGTGAGCCACCGTGCCTGGCCAGATAGCAGATATAATAGCCCCATGTCTGTTTCTTCACTGCTACATCAAAATACCCAGCATAGTGTCTGGCACACAGTTGGACACTGGGTGAAGATTTATTGAATGGGGAGTGAATTCTGTAGGGGAATTAGGAATTGAACCAGGAGTGCCTTTTGGAGATACTTAACCTCCAGTGTCTGAGGCTAAGAATGATCTGAGAAAACTGAAGCATGGACTAAAAAGCAGTGCTGAATGAAGCTAAGAAGAAATATAATGTGGTTGTCAATCTCCTGAATCTTCTGTTTATCAGGCCAAGCATCCTGTGGGTAGAAGTTCAGCCTTTCAGAACCCAAAAGTCACTCACTGGACTCAGGCATGACTAAAGATTCCGTCATATGAAAAGCAAGGGAAGATAACCCAACTCTTCTGTAGACTCAGTCCCTTCATCCACAGCATGAAGCGATTGAATGAGGAGACCTATGATGTCATCTGGCCTCGACAGGCTATGATGAAATAACTTTAAATTGGGAAATTCTCTGATTTGAAAAGGGGATTTTCTGCTCTGACATAAGCCTGCCAGACACTTTTGTTTAAGTTGGGACACTTTCCTCATGCCAAATGCCTGCCATGTAGGTATTACACCATTGTAATAGACAGAGCTGCATGCAGACATCCTAGAGAAACAGGTCATGCTGAAGCTGGCCTACCTCAAGAGGCTCTACTGTGACTGTCACAGTAGATACGGGCATGGGACCTGGACAGGGAAAAAGAGCAGCTGAATAATGTTAACAGTGGTGGTAACTAGGGTAGGATGCAATAGTCCACACTAGTTATTTGTATAAATTTTATATTACAATTTTAAATCAATACCTTTCCTCCTCTGCACCTACAACTTGACAATGACTGATTTTTTAATGTTTCTAGAATTTGGCCTTTTCCAGAATCCCTTATCATTAAAATCATACAGTATATCATCTTTTCAGACTGGCTTCTTTCACTGAGCAGTGTGCATTTAAGGTTTTGCCATGTATTTTCATGGCTTGATGATTAACTTTTTTATTGCTGACTAATATTTCAGTGTGTACATACCAAGTTTGTTTACCCTTACACAATTTGAATGATGATTGGTTCCTTCCAATTTTTGGCAATTATGAATCAAGCTGCAATAAGCATTTATATGCAGCTTTTGTGTGGACATGTATTTTCAACCCATTTAGGTAAATACCTAGGAGTGAAATCGTTGAATCATTTGGCAAGACTCAAACTGTGTTCCAAAGTGGTTGCATCATTTTGCATTCCCACCAGGAATGAATGACAGCTTCTGGTGCTCCATATCCTTGTCAGAAATTGGTATTGTCAGGTTTTTTTTTTATTATACCCATTCTAATAGGTGTATAGCTTCTCGATACTGTTTTAATTTGTAATTAACTAATGACATATGATGTTGAGCAACTTGTAAATGTTTATTTGCCACGTGTATAACATCTTTGGTGAGATATCTATTCAGATCTTCTGTTTCCTTTTTTTAATTTTAAGAGTTTTTGTATATTTTGGACATCAATTATTTATCATTTATGTGTTTTGCAAAAATGTTTCCTAATTTTTTGCCTCTCCATTCTCTGAATAGTCTCAGAAATTTTTAATTTTAATGAAATTCACCTTTTTAAAAAATTTTATGGATCGAGGATTCAGTGTTGGATGTAAAAAGTCGCTGCCAAATAAAAAGTCACCTATGCTATAATCTCAGCTACTCCACAGGGTAAGGCAGGAGGATTACATAAGCCCAGGAGCTCAAAGCTGCAGTGAGCCATGATAGCACCAACCACACTCCAGCCTGGGCGACAGAGCGAGATCTCAACTCAAAAAAAAAAAAAAAATCATGTAGCTCTTCCCCTGTGTTATCTCAGTTATCTTATAGGAATTTTATAGTTTTGTGTTTTAATTTTGGTCTGTGACACATTTAAATTAATTTTTGTAAAATGTATAAAGTCTGTGTTTAGATTCAATTTTTTTTTGGTATGTGAATGTCCAGCTGTTCCAGCATAAATTCTTGAAAAGATTTTTTGTACATTGACTTTCCCCTGCTACTTTGTCAAAGATCTGTTGACTATGGTTGTGTGCACCTACTTATGAACTCATTATTCTGTTCTCTTGACCTATTTTTCTATACTTTCACCAACACCACTCTGTCTAGATTACTAGCTTTATAGCAAGTCTTGAAGTTGGGTGGTATATGTTCTCTGATGGTGCTATTTTCCTTCAACATTGTGTTGACTATTGTAGGTCTTTTGCCTTCTCATATACATTTTAGGCTCAGTCTCACAATATTCACAAAATAACTTGTGAGGATTTCAGTCGAGGGATTTATAGATCAAATTGGGAATTAACAATATTGAGTTTTTCTATACATGAACATGGAATGTTTCTCAATTTGTTGAATCTTCTTTGACTTTTTTGATGAGTTTCATAGTTTTCCTCTTATAGATCTTGCTCACATTCTGTTAGTATTTCTTTTTCTTCAATGCTAATATAATCGGTATTGTTTTTAATTTCAAATTCCAATTGATCATTACTAGCATAAAGAAAAGCAGTTGACTTTCATATATTATACATGTATCTTGAATTATTGCTATAATCATTTAGTTCCAGAATTTTTTTTCTATTGTTGATTCTTTGAGATTTTCTGCATAGACAATCATATCATCTGTGAACCAACAGAATTTTATATTGTCCTTCTTAATCTGTATACCTTTTCTTTTCTTGTCTTGTCTGTTTGCATTAGCTTGGTCTGCTGGTATGACTTGAATAGAAGTACTGACAGAAGACACCCTTGCCTTCTTCCTGATCTTAGCATCTTTACAGGAAAGCATTTATTCTCACCATTAATTATGATATCAGTTGTAGGGTTTTTTTTTTTTTACAGATGTTCTTTTTGAGGTTGAGGATATTCCTCTCCATCTTAGTTTGCTGAGAATTTTTAAATCATGAATGGATGTTGGATTTTGTCAAATTCTCTCGCTGCCTCCATTGATATAATCAGTATGAACATATGGTTCATTTTCTTCAGGCTGTTGATATGATGGGTTGCATTAAATGATTTTCAAATGTTGAGTCAAACTTGTAAAGCAGTATATTTCCCTGACCCCTTCATGGGTAGGAACTGGAGTGCATGAGTGCCTGCAGGGGCGAACTCCATTCACTTGCTGCTCCACCCCTCGCCGGAGGGGGAGCGCAGGTGTAGGTGTAGGAGCTGGGGCAAGTGCTTTTGGGCACCAGCAAGAGTAAACTCTGTACTGACCCTGTGGCAGCATCTAGGGGAGGGTGCCCGCGACCCCTGAACCCCCAGAGAAAGTGTTACAGTGCCCTTTTAGCTTTGCCATTCATGGAGGGCTAAAGTGTTAACAGCTCAGTGGAGGGTCAGTGTGACACCCTTTTGCACCCACACTCAGGGCACCTGAGTTCTTGTCTGACATCCAGGAGGAATGAGGTTGCACAAAGAAATTGAAGATGGTAAATGGGGATTTTATTGCCGTTGAAAGTGGCTCTCAACAGGAAGGGGAGCTGAAAAGGGGTCAGAGCAGGAAGGTAATCTTCCCCTGGAGTCTGGCTGTCCGCAGCTGACTCTTCTCCAAAGCTACGCCATCAAGCTGCTTCTAATGTCCCTCTGAAGTCAAGCTGCTTCTCTCCGATGTCTAGCCGTAGTCTCCAATGCCCAGCTGCATCTCCTCTTTCTGCCGGCTGAGCTCTGGGGTTTTTATAGGCACAGGATGGGAGGTGGAGCCATGGGTGGTTTAGGAAAAGGCAACATTCGAGGGGGAAAACAGGGATGTAAGTTCTCACTTTGGGCCGTGGTCCAGAGGCTTTTTGGCTTGAGGGTGGGGCCCTCCTGGGGGACCCACCCTCTTCTGCCCAGAATTTCCCTGCATCCTGTCCCTATCACTTGTATACTCAGAATAAATCTCCCTTAGTCATGGTGTATAATTCTTTTCACACAGTGTTGGATTCAGTTTGCTATTTTTTTTCCAGCTTTATTGAAGTGTAACAGACAAATACGAATTTACATATACTCAAAGTACATAGTGATTTGGTATATGTACACATTGTAAAATAATTACCATAGTCAACATAATTAACATAACCATCATTTCATATAGTTACCATTGTGTGTGTGTGTGCTGTTTCCTAAATTTTTGTGTGTGTTTTTTAGTTTTTAGACTTCTTAAAATCTTATTTTTAATGTATAAATAACAGTTGCATATATGTGTGGGATACAATGTGATGTTCTGATATATGTTTACATTGTGAAATGAATAAGTCATGTTTAATTAACAAATTCATCAAGGCAATAGAATATTGCAGGAGAGGAGACAGACTGAGCTTAACCCTGAATACAGCATGGGCAGGTGGGAATTTGTAGCTATGGAGCAGTGTGGGAGTCAGTGGATAAAAAGTTACTAAGAGGAAGGAAATATTAGGGGTGAGGGGGATTCTGGTTAAATCTGCCGAAGCCAGATGGGGGTGATCAGACCTCACCTGGGGGACAGTGGAAGATGCAGACCCTGATTTCATATGGAGGATGATCAGATATCCAGCATGGGGGTGCTTGCTAAATTGACTAAGTGGGGATTTTTGCTACAACTGGATTTTACAAGGACATACATAGATGGGCCTAGGAGAAGGTTCGGGATGCTGACTGACTAAGGTTTCACCAAGCAATCTTTGTCAATACCAACAAACAAACCCCAAACCCAAGAGGCTTAAAACTTAAAGTTTATTTACCGTTTTGATTATTACACATTCTGCAATCATCAGCATAGAATATTAAGTTAGGGATCGCTAAGGGCTTTATGAGTTGTTTCTAAATTGTGACCATCAAGTCCCTCCAAATCTCTAATAAATCTGATAAATTCATGAATCAAAGCTATTCTTTGCTGAGAAAAAAATGGTACAGTAAAATGTACAAGTTTGATAGAAAAAGCAGATTTTGATTTAAATTAGAAAAGAAACTTTTAAAAAATTAAATATGCTTTCAGTTTTACCCAAGGAAACCACACAGGTTACTGCTGCATGCAGAGTGCCAGGCACATGATCCAAAGCTACTGAGACAGCAACCACGTTGTTTCATTTATTTTAAAATATGTATAATCTGAAAGAGGGGTAGATGCTTCCAGAAAAAGAAAGGCTTGGCTTGTTCCAGTGAAAATAATAGAGATTTTATTAAAATAAATATTTTACCTGAATGACTTGGACAATTTGCAAAATTTTTGTTCGAGGGTGATTAAGTGGGTTGCTTTTCTGACCAACTTTCTTTATTTAATGCCGACTGTAAGATCAATTATTTGCTATTCATGAACGACCAAAAATAAAACACTCATTGCAAATATTGGAATGTAAAATGCTTCCTCTTGGTTGGATAATGGAGGATGGGGAGGCTTTCATTTTGCTACTTAAATGAAGCTTCATTCATTTATCTTTATTTTCAGCCTTCATGACTCAATTATAATTACAATCATGTATAATTTTGAATATTCATACAATGAATTTTTTTTTTTTTTTGAGGCAGAGTATCGCTCTGCCACCAGGCTGGGGTGCAGTGGTGCGATCTCGGCTCACCGCAACCTCCGCCGCCTGGGTTCAAGATATTCTCCTGCCTCAGCCTCCTGAGTATGACTACAGGCGCATGTCACCATGCCCAGCTAATTTTTGTATTTTTAGTAGAGACGGGTTTCACCATGTTGGCCAGGATGGTCTCCATCTCTTGACCTCGTGATCTGCCCACCTTGGCCTCTCAAAGTGCTGGGATTAGAGGCGTGAGCCACCACGCCTGGCCCTACAATACAAATTTTTAATTGCTGACTTTATTGGCTGTTGCCAGAACATGACTGAATAGATGTGTCAGAGTTTCTCACCCTCAGCACTAGTGACATTTTAGGCTGGATAATTCTGTGTTGTGGGGGCCTGTCCTGTGCATTATAGGATGTTTAACAGCATCTCTGGTCTCTCTCCATGAGATGCCAGCAGCACCCACCCAGCTCCACTTATAATAACTGAAGATGCCTCCAGATATTGCAAAATGTCCTCTGAGGGGCAAAATCATACCCTGATTGAGAACCATGGGCCCGATGTTATCATTGAGAAACTAACAAAGCCTTAATCAGCTTATTAAAAATACATATTTATTAGCTAATATTGAGAAAGAGTGTTCCTCCACTACATATTCTGTTTAGTAACAATACATATTCTAATCCTCTTTATAAAATATTTACCAAGGGTGCTGTATGAAAGAACATTAGACATTTAAAAACGAAAATGGAATGCTCATTTGACCTAGTCTGTGCCCCGTGAGCCTAAGGTAAAATGGGGTTTCTTTCTTTTTTTTTCTTTTTTTTTTTTTTTTTGAGATGGAGTCTCGCTCTGTCGCCCAGGCTGGAGTGCAGTGGCGTGATCTCGGCTCACTGCCTCCCGCCTCCCGGGTTCACGCCATTCTCTTGCTTCAGCCTCCCGAGTAGCTAGCTGGGACTACAAGCGCCTGCCAGGACGCCCGGCTAATTTTTTGTATTTTAGTAGAGACGGGGTTTCACCGTGTTAGCCAGGATGGTCTCGATCTCCTGACCTCGTGATCCGCCCACCTCCGCCTCCCAAAGTGCTGGGATTACAGACGTGAGTCACGCGGTCGGCGTAAAATGGGGTTTCTAACCATGCAAGTGACTGAAGCAAAGCAGAGGCGGGGGAGTGCGCTCAGAGTGGGGGCAGGGATGCTCTTGCCACAGACGGGAGTGAGGAGAGGAGTCCTCTTTCTGCAGGTTCCCCTCTCACCCTCCTGTCTCTACATCCTCCACTCACACTAACTGATCCAATCACATCACTCTTTTTTTTTTTTTTTTTTTTTGAGACAAAGTCTCACACTGTCGCCCAGGCTGGAGTGCAGTGACGCAATCTCGACTCACTGCAAGCTCCGCCTCCCAGGTTCACGCCATTCTCCTGCCTCAGCCTCCCCAGTAGCTGGGACTACAGGCGCCCGCCACCACGCTCAGCTAACTTTTTTTATATTTTTAGTAGAGATAGGGTTTCACCGTGTTAGCCAGGATGGTCTCGATCTCCTGACCTTGTGATCCGCCCTCCTCAGCCTCCCAAAGTGCTGGGATTACAGGCGTGAGCCACCGTGCCCAGCCCGTCTCCCCAGAATTCACCTGTGCCTTACTTTAAAAAAATGTTTCCCCTAAATGCATTGCAAATAAAACTAGAGCAGGAATTTTTAATCTATCTTACTCACTTTTATAAAACTTCTTGCTAGAATATTGTGTGCCTGGGCGCATACAAGACACTGGATATGTGTTAAAAGAATGAATGAATGAATGAATGACTCAAATATTATCTCAAACTTCACTGGGTACTTTGAGTTTTTACAATAAAGTTCTCATTCACTCTTCCCAGTCACGGTAGGCAGTTCCTCTCCTCAGTGGATGGCTGCCATTATCTAGAAAATGGGCAGGTGCTATCAATCAATCTGGGTACAATTTAATTTAGGTTAACCGGGATTACCTACTACATGATTTTTGAAGGTTCATTGCAAATAATGCAGTTATCCAAGGCAAAACACTAAATATTTCTAGGCCCATTTGATTCCTTAAATATTTTTGCCTCTCGGTAACTAATGTTCATTTCTGGGATTGGATTTAAATACTGGTCTGAATTCAAGTTTCTTATTTTAATTAAAATCACTTATTTTTTAAATATGCTTTATGGGCCTGGCACGGTGGCTCCCGCCTGTAATCCCAGCACTTTGGGAGGCCGAGGCAGGCGGATCACGAGGTCAGGAGATCGAGACCATCTTGGCTAACATGGTGAAACCCCGTCTCTACTAAAAATAGAAAAATTAGCTGGGTGTGGTGGCGGGCACCTGTAATCCCAGCTACTCTGGAGGCTGAGGCAGGAGAATGGCGTGAACCCGGGAAGCAGAGCGCACAGTGAGCCGAGATCGCGCCACTGCACTCCAGCCTGGAGCACAGAGTGAGACTCTGTCTCAAAAAAAAAACTATATATATATATATATATATATATATGCTTTATGAAATTTGACATGTAGGAGATAAAAATCTATGCAAATTTCATTAAATATCAATTTGTAAGAAAAATTTACTATACATTTCTGGTATAAATTTATATTTCTCCCAAATCTCATGCTTTTGGCTTGAAAATATTTTATTTTCCTTACCAGTACAAAGATTAGTACTCTCATTGAAGAAATAGTGAGTGAGTATATTAGTTCATTCTCTCATTGCTATCAAGAAATACCTGAGACTGGGTAATTTATTTTTTAAATTTATTTATTTATTTATTTATTTATTTATTTATTTATTTATTTAAGACTTGCTCTGTTGCCCAGGCTGGAGTGCAGTGGCATGATCTTGGCTCACTACAACCTCTGCCTCCCAGGTTCAAGCAATTCTTCTGCCTCAGCCTCCTGAGTAGCTGGGATTACAGGTGTGCACCTTCATGCCAGGATAATTCTTGTATTTTTAGTAGAGGTGGGGTTTCACCATGTTGGCCAGGCTGGTCTTGGACTCCTGACCTCAAGTGAGGAATGCCACTGCCTCCCAAAATGTTGGAATTACAGCTGTGAGCCAGTGCACCCCGCTGAGACTGGGTAATTTGTAAAGAAAAGAGGTGTGATTGGCTCATGGTTCCACAGACTGCACAGGAAGCATGATGCTGGCATCTGCTCAGTTTCTGCAGAGGCTTCAGGAAATTTACAGTCATGGCAGAAGGCAAAGCAGTAGCCAGATGTCTCTCATGGCAGGAGCAGGACCAATGTGGAGGGAGGTGCCACACACTTTTCAACAATCAGATCTCCTTAGAACTCACTATCACTAGAAGATTACCAAGGGGATGGTTCTAAACCATTCATGAGAAACCGCCCCTATGATCCAGTCACCTCCCACCAGGCCCCACCTCCAGTACTGGGGATTACAATTTGACATGAGATTTGGGCAGAAGCACAGATTCAAACCATACCAGTGAGCATTGGTATAAACTAAAATGCCTTCTTCAAATTCAGATCAAATTCCTTAAAACTCTAAGCATCTCAAAACATTTTGCTTTTCAGCCCAAGGATTCAAGGCAGTTTATAACCATAATTGCTAAAAAGCAAAAATAAAAACAAAATGAAAGGCCTACCATGTCTCAAACACCTCTACCTTGTTTACAGTCATGTAGAAGATGACAGTGGAGAAAACTTAGGAGTCCATAAGAATTTCAAAATAAAATTACTAAAAAAATGATTATGGTTAAGCAATTATTTTTCAAAATATTTTACTTTGCTATGTTAATCTGTCCAAATTATAGTTATCAATTTAAGTATCATTCTCTTTTTAGAAAATCTAAATCAACACAGAGGAAGAATTTGGTGGATAGGATTATAATCCCCCAGGATTTTGGACAGGCCGTGGAGATAACCCACCAGGTCTGAGTAATACGTGTATTTACTGATAGATGCCTCCATCTATACTTGTGTGCATTTGCATGTGCACATGAGGTGTTTTTTTTTTTTTTTTTTTTTTTTTTCAGAGTCTGGCTCTGTCGCCAGGCTGTAGTGCAGTGGTGCAATCTCAGCTCACTGCAACCACCACCTCCCAGGTTCAAATGATTCTCCTGCCTCAGCCTTCCGAGTAGCTGGGACTATAGGCATGCACCACCACGCCCAGCTAATTTTTGTATTTTTAGTAGAGACACGGTTTCACCATGTTGATGAGGATGGTCTCGATCTCTTGACCTCATGATCCGCCCACCTCGGCTTCCCAAAGTGCTGGGATTACAGGCATGAGTCACTGCGCCCGGCCACACATGTGAGTTTTTTATGTGCGTGCGTGTGTACGCATGTTAGGAGTTAAATTTTATTTTTGTTTTGAGCTTCAATATATTGTCATCTAAACTCCAGTAATTTCTACTTTTCTAAGTATTTTTTGAGAACTAAAATGAAAATAGTTTCTTTGTTTTTAAATGGAAATCTTTCACTGGTTAGAGTTTAGTTTGTTTAGTTTCTTTTAGGTTTAGGCTAATGTCTGTCATGTCCTATGGCCTATGAACATTTGCCACTATCCTAATGATCTATTCCACGGGTAAACAAACATTTCTGACCTTAACAATTGTCAATCCAAAAATATGGAAATAATGTATTGTTCTTGTGTTCAATAATGCTACAAACCTGCATAGTTTCCTGTCATAATGTTCAACAGTTTTTGAGGCCAACATACTCTATCCCTCTCTGTGCTAAACAGTCTTGAGATTAAGCACACTGTCCTATTTTTGATGAACAACACCAAGAACAAGTGAAAAAAAAACTGCTTGTTGCAGGGAATAACTGCTCCTGGAAAAAAAAAAAGGCTGAACCAATTCAACAACTTACTTATTGGACTAAGAGCTGATTTATTAAGGTTTGCTTTAAGACTTAGCTAGCTCCTGCAGTACACAGCTGTTATATCAGAAACTCTGATTAGTCCCAACTTGTTCTGCTCCTTGTAAGACCCTGGGTGAATTTTTTTTTTTTTTTTGAGACAGTGTCACTGTGTCACCCAGGCTGGAGTGCAGTGGTGTGATCTTGGCTCATTGCAAGCTCCGCCTCCTGGGTTCACACCATTCTCCTGCCTCAGCCTCCCGAGTAGCTGAGACTACAGGCACCCGCCACCACACCCGGCTAATTTTTTGTATTTTTAGTAGAGATGGGGTTTCACGGTGTTAGCCAGGATGGTCTTCATCTCCTGACCTTGTGATCCACCCGCCTCGGCCTCCCAAAGTGCTGGGATTACAGGCATGAGCCATTGCACCCAGCCTAGACCCTGGGTGATTTTAACATCCAGCTGAGTCTCTGAAACCCTATGAACACTCTGCCCAATTTTCTATTTTGAGACATGCTATTATACTAAGACTTTGAGCAGAGTATATTCTTTCTTATTCTCATTTACAGTAAGAGAGCCAGGCATGGAATTAGCCAGGCGTGGTGGTGCACACCTGTAATCCCAGCTACTTGGAAGGCTGAGGCAGGAGAATCACTTGAACCTGGGAGGTGGAACTTGCAGTGAGCCGAGATCGCGCCACTGCGCTCCAGCTTGGGTGACAGAGCAAGACTCTGCCTCAGATAAATAAATAAATAATAAATTACCCAGACTTGGGTGTGTCTGGATAGCAATGTGAGAATGGACTAATATACTCACTGTTTCTTCAATGAGAGTACTAGTAAGTCTAGTAAATGTAGTTTGCCTGACTAACAAGCTCTAGTATTTTTTTAGGGAGTTAAATGTCAGTTCTAAGGAGGTCAAAGGATATATAAGAAATAACAAGTTTTAAAGTCAGAAGTGCATTTAAATTTGGGCTTAGAATTTATCTTGCATTTATCCTATTTCAGGAAATATTACCACATATGAAGTGTGGATATTTATGCGTACTTAGCAGTGGGCTTGAGAATATCACACACAATATTATACGTAGGCTACCATAGAATCTGCAATTATTATAATACCCGAATGCCTCCTACAGCCCTTCTACCTCTTGAAGACCTTTAAGAATTTGCTTTTTCCACTGAAAATTAGAAAGAACAACATAGCTGAAGGCAGTCCTTGTTCTATTGGGTCATTTGTTGGGATTGTGCTTATCCTGCAACTTTGGGGAAGGGAGGCATTTCAACATGAAATGAGGCTGCCTGTAAGTCAGAAAAAGAGTGAAGGAAAATTGAATTTAGCTCTTGCCAGCATTGCTTGAGGTATTTGGGTGATATAAATTTTTTTTTAAAGGCCACAATGCTTTTAGAATTTTCTTTGCTTGTGATTAGTCATTGTTGGCCTCTTTATGCTTCTCCCAGAATCATTACAATGCCATGCTTCCCCACTCTTTTCTAAGGACTCTAAAGCCTGGATTTATTTTTTCTGACCCAAGAGGCACAACCAAATGATGTTTAAGCATCCGCAACCCAGCCAATGTGTGAGGCCATTTCCTCCAAAATACATTCTCCTTTCTTACCTGCCCTCTCTGATTCCTTGTCCAGCCTGGCCTCTTATATGGACCCTGATCTTTTATCCTCAATATCCTTTCTTATCCCACGCCCACTGTCTACTTTAGTTTCAATTTCAGCCACTCGTTAGTTTCTTGGTAAACAAAGTGAATAAACGCCCTTGAAGTCCTGCCATACTGACTCCTTTGGAAACCCAACTCACCATTAAATTGCAGTGTCTTAAATTGTACTCTTTGCATACTGATTTATCCTCTGGTACTCAGCTAATTCACGGCTCTCTGAGTCTTGTGTACCTCATTTTCACATGCTCAGGTCAGGGTAGAGATGGCTTTTGTGAGGCCTTGAGTGGGAGGTGTGAGAGTTTGTCCTCTAAACATGCATTTTGACTCTTTTCGTGTTCGTTTTTGCCATCGAGGAGATCAACAGGGGCCCGCTGCTCTTACTCAACATGTCTTTGGGGTATCACGTCTACAATGCCTGCAACACTGATCAGAGGACTTTGGAGGGCCCTCTGTTTTGGCTGTCAGGAGGGGCCGAGAACCTTCCCAATTATACATGTGAGAGGCAGAGCAAATCCATAGCAGCGATTGAAGGAACTATATCAGCATTTGTTTCTCAGTTGGAGATGTTGATGGAAATCTACAAACTACCACAGGTGAGACAGGATGGGGTGGGTCAGAGATGACATTGAATGTCCTTTGCTGTTATTACAAGGCATGTCAACAAAAGGTGGCTCAGAACAGTCTTTGAAGCCCCCAAAGGTGACAGAAAGTCCTTGCACTGCCAGTGTTTATTTAGGGTAAGAAGGAGACAGAATGAGATGGGCAGCAGTGAGGCATCCCTGGCTGGCACAGCCAGGCCAGCTCTGGGAACTCTATATCTGAACACTTACTTTCCAGATTAATTTTTCCCAGAGGGAAGATGATACATTTAAAAAAATGAACAAGTAAATCTTCCCCTTTCCAAAAGAAAATGTAGTATCTTCAACTTCAAAATGGTGAAATAATAATTGCTTTATTCTTTACTATCATGCTGTTATTATCTAACTGCTATATCTCCGAAGAATTTTTTTTTTTTTTTGAGACAGAGTTTCCCTCTTGTTGCCCAGGCTGGAGTGCGATGGCGCGATCTCAGCTCACAGCAACCTCCGCCTCCCGGGTTCAAGTGATTCTCCTTCCCTAGCCTCCCGAGTATCTGCGATTACAGGCATGTGCCACCACGCCTGGCTAATTTTTGTATTTTTAGTAGAGACGGGGTTTCTTCATGTTGGTCAGGCTGGTCTCGAACTCCCAACCTCGGGTGGTCCGCCCACCTCAGCCTCCCGAAGTGCTGGGATCACAGGCGTGAGCCACTGCACCCGGCTTTGCGAAGAATTTTTGACCATCCTCTGACTCTCTCCAGAATCGTTTCCTTGACTAATAGTCAAAATTGGAATTTTTATAGCCCTGTAAACCCACAGATTAGCTTATAGGGAGATTTGGTAAACTGAGATTTTGGGGAGGGGAAGGGATGCTGGCAGAGAAGAAACTTTGTTTACAATTTTATTACCCTAGATAATATTAACCAGTTTTGTATGTTTCTTAGAAATTTTATTGTAGCTTACCTGTTTGCCAATGGCTATATGAAACCTTGCTCTTCAAATGTTCTACAAATCAGGACTTTTGTCTTCAAAATGGTTTTCTCATGAATGAGTTGAGTACAGTTTTAACTCTTGTTAAGAAAAACTCTGAGCATTTTGCCTTTACACACGTTCATCAATTTCTCTAGTAATTTACTTGCTAGCTTTGAATTTCTTCTAGGAGTAGAAAGTGAAGTGCCTGATGTATTGTGTTTGTGCCCTTCTCCCTCAAATCACTTCTGAATACAAATGGATATTGTTTTTCCTTTTCCTCTAAGATTAGTTATGTCCATTTGATCCTTTGCCTAGTGATGAAGGACAGTTTCCATCTCTGTATCAGATGGTCCCAAGGAATCATCTTTGCCTCTTGGCATGGTGAAGCTGTTGCAGCATTTTAGCTAGACCTGGTAGGGCTGCTTGTCTCAGATGACATAAAAGGTGGGCATTTTTGGCCAGGCACGGTGGCTCACGCCTGTAATCCCAGCTCTTTGGAGGGCCAAGGCGGGTGGATCACCTGAAGTCGGGAGTTCGAGACCAGCCTGACCAACATGGAGAAACCCCGTCTCTACTAAAAATAGAAAAATTAGCTGGGTATGGTGGTGCATGCCTGTAATCCCAGCTACTCAGGAGGCTGAGGTGGGAGAATCGCTTTAACCTGGGAGGCAGAGGTTGCTGTGAGCCGAGATTGCACCACTGCACTCCAGCCTGGGCGACACAGCTAGACTCCGTCTCAAAAAAAAAAAAAAAAAAAGGTGGGCATTTTTTCTAGGAACTGAGAGAAGTGGCCAGGGAAAGCATCTATTCAGGCTTTACAAAGAAACTGTCTTGGAGGGTGTTCTGCCATCAGCAGGCAGGATAACATTGGCCAAGACTGAAGATCCATCAACAAATGTGACTGCTGTCTGTGGTGACACAGACCCCCTAATCCTCCTGACGTTCTGGGATGGAACACTTTGAAAACATGGAAAGCGTGTGTTACCACCTCCCAGTGGGACTTTATCACACATGGGGGAAGTTTCATACTTAATCCATTCCATGGGACTCTCACTTTTTCAAAGCAGAACAGTGAGATGCCTGGCTTTCAGCATTTTGTTCAGACAGTTAGCCCTTCCGTACACCCAGAACACATTTTCCATAATAAACCGTGGCTTTTTTCCTTGGATTGCTTCCTTTCTGATTCTGGCTGTGAAACCCTGGGAGGATGCCCACGAAATGCTTTCTTGGGTCCTGTGCCTTTGCGTTGCTTTGACTGGATTGCATCTGATTTCATTAAGTCCATCTATGATGCTGCGTGTGCAGCCAATCCCCTATGCTAAGTGCTGCTTTTAGAAATACAGTGGGATATGAGGAAAATGTAGATGCAGTGCTGTTTCATCCCTGGCAGGTAATGATTTCCGCTAGGGCATTGTCGGCCCTGGAGCCCATCGATTCTTGAAACATATAGTCATAAATGAGATTTTCTCAAAACCTGCATAATAACTCAGGCAAAACACATTGAAATTTTACATTCTGAATATAAATTCTGAAAATGAATATGTCTACTTGCTTTTACAATGAGAAACCATATATAGTCCGGAGAGTTTTCAGTTTTGATGTGTGTGTGTGTGTGTGTGTGTGTGTGTGTATGTGTGTGTGTAAATGATCATCACATAGATATCTCTGGCTAGAAGAAACTTTGTCATATTTGTTCTAAGATTAAATGTTTGTCCCGTATTTCCAATACTCATTTTCAATCTGATTTAAATTTTTTGATCTATGATATTAACTGTCTAGAAATGACTGGGGAAAAGAAATTAGTTTTGAGCCCTTACTTTGTGTTCAGCATAAATGGTGATTATATTTTTTCTTTTAATTCAAAATAACATTAAGAGATATGAATTGCTATTTCTATTTTATGTATGAGAAAAACTCATATTCAGAGACATTCGGTAAAATTCTTACACACTGCCTGTAAATGGATCATCAAAAATTTGAAAGCGGCCAGGTGCAGTGGCTCACTCCTGTAATCCCAACACTTTGGGAGGCTGAGGGGGGCTGATCACCTGAGGTCAGGAGTTTGAGACCAGCCTGACCAATATGGTGAAACCCTGTCTCTACTAAAAATACAAAAATTAGCTGGGTGCGGTGGCGGGTGCCTATAGTCCCAGCTACATGGGAGGCTGAGACAGGAGAATCGCTTGAACCCAGGAGGCAGAGGTTGCAGTAAGCCAAGATCGCGCCACTACACTCCAGCCTGGGCAACAGAATGAGACTCCATCTCAAAAAAAAAAAAAAAAGAAATCGAAACCACAATTGTCTTTATTTTCATCAAAGTATAAAGTTGAATTTGAGCTTTCAGTCTTCAAGGATCAGGGAGGAACAATGCTTCAGTTAACGTTTCATAGCATAATGCATTTGTTTTTATTACTCCCTGATGCATCCCTTTTAGCTTTACTCTCTTAAGGACCACGGAATTTATGACCAGTGCTGATGATCAGGTACCCAGATTAGAATAGGAACTCTGTTGCATAGTATGATATTCTGAATTATTGTAATTTGCCTGATGGTCTCCAACATCAAGGGAAGTTAGGAGAATGTGTTTTCCACGTGGTCAAGATTTTACCATACACGAGGAAAGGATCAAATGGGCCATTGTTGTTTTCAGAGGTTAGTCACAATTTCAAAGATAGCTTTTTACTGAATATGGATACCAGAATAGAGTTGATTCATGCAGGTAATTTCACCTGATTTGAACCCTCTATGTAGTTGATATGTATACACGCCTATACATATGTATGTTGATACGTATCCCACCTATACACGCTTCTACCTTTTAATATTTCTTATTCATTGCTTACCGAAGAACAAACATTAAATTGCATAATAAAATGACAACGATGGTAATAATGGTAGTGAATAATCATTAACTATGTGCCAAGCATTGTTTTAGTGGTTTTATGTATGTCTGTTATATTACTCAGAACGCTGCTATGAGTCAGATCCCTTTCATATTTGTTTTAGATAAGAAAAGGGGTGCAAAGGAACGTTAAGTAACTTATTCACCATTATACTCTTAGTGATGAGTCACAATTTTAAGCAAAGGAGTTCCTGTCAAAATCCATGGTTTTAACCACAATACTGTATTGGTCCTCAGATTTTTATATCTTATTAAATAATATATTTCTTTCTAAATTTATTTTATTATTTTATCACTACACATGTAACAAAAATGCATTAAATAATATATTTCTAAAATTAAATGTTTTGTTTTTATTTCTACATAAAAATATTTTTGATATTCTGAATTTCTGTTATCTTCCTCATTGTTATAATTAAGATTGTCTTGGTTTTTATAGTCAATGATACTAACTCTAAACAGTAAGTTTTGTGTCTTTATTTCAAATCCTTATGTTATTTTATAGGAGCTCAATTTTCATCTTTGTGCATATCATACCCCTTTCAAATGGAATAATTCTTATATTTCACCTTGATGCTTTCTGTATATTTCTGGTAATAACTTTACTTGTACTGTTAGGTTACTCAGACATTCTTTTTTTTTTTTGAGACGGAACGGAGTCTCGCTCTGTCGCCCAGGCTGGAGTCCAGTGATGCCATCTCAGCTCACTGCAAGCTCTGCCTCCCAGGTTCATGCCATTCTCCTGCCTCACCCTCCCGAGTAGCTGGGGTTACAGGTGCCCACCACCATGCCCTGCTAATTTTTTTTGTATTTTTAGTAGAGACGGGGTTTCACCGTGTTAGCCAGGATGGTCTCGATCTCCTGACCTCGTGATCCGCCCACCTCAGCCTCCCAAAGTGCTGGGATTACAGGCGTGAGCCACCACTCCCGGCCACAGGTTACTCAGACATTCTTTTATGAATTACAAGTTAGTTTGGTGTCTACTAAAATGCGTATGATTTTCTGTAATGATTTGTTAGTATAGATTATTAAATTTATATATATGTATATATATATACTTATTAACTTATCCTTGCTTTCCTAGGATAAACTGAAATTGATCATAATTTTTTGATAGACATTATTTTTTAGAGTAGTTTCACGTTTTAAAAAATTTGAAGAGAAAGTACAAAGAGTATATATACCTCCCTTCCTCCCCGTTTCTCTATAATTTGTATTTTCTATAACACTTTGCGTTAGGGTGATGCATGTGTTACAATTGATGAACCAACATTGATACACTATTATTAACTGAAATCCATACTTTAGGGTTCAGTCTGTGTTATAGAATTTTATGGGTGTTGACAAATTTATAATGTCATGTATCCACTATTGCAGTATCAGACAAAATATTATGGCTGCCTTCAAAGTCCCTTATGCTCCACCTATCCATCCCTCCTTCCTTCTCCACCAGGATGCTTTCTTTAATATTTTGTGGTACACAGGGTATTTATATCCATATTCCTAACTGGAAATGTTCTCTAATTTTACTTTACCATTCTACGATTTGTTTTGTTATCAATGGTATGCTAGCTTCTCAAATCGAGGAGTCTTTTTCTAATTTATTAAAAGATGAAAATTTACTATTTCTTGAACACTGTTATTTGGGTATAAGATCACATGGCTCTGATGTGTATCTTGTGGCTCTATTTTTAACAACTAACTCTATTTTAAATTATTATTGTGATATGGGTTGGATTTGTGTCCCTGCCCAAATCTCAGGTGGAATTGGAGGAGGGGTCTGGTGGGAGGTAATTGGATCATGGGGGTGGATTTCCCCCTTGCTGTTCTGTGAGAGTGGGTGAGTTCTCATGAGATCTCATGGTTTAAACGTGTGTGGCACTTCCCTGTTCTCTCTCTCTCTCCTGCCACCACGTGAAGAAGATCCTTGCTTCCCCTTCACCTTCTGCCATGATTGTAGGTTTCCTGAGGCCTCCCTGTCATGCTTCCTGTTAAGCCTGTGGAAGTGTGAGTTAATTAAATCTCTTTTTTTTTTTTTGTAAGTTATCCACTCTCAAGTAGTTTTTTTTTTTTTCTTTTGAGACGGAGTCTCGCTCTGTCACCCAGGCTGGAGTGCAGTGGCGTGATCTCGGCTCACTGCAAACTCCGCCTCCCGGGTTCACGCCATTCTCCTGCCTCAGCCTCCCGAGTAGCTGGGACTACAGGTGCCCGACACCACGCCCGGCCAATTTTTTGTATTTTTAGTAGAGACGAGGTTTCACCGTGTTAGCCATGATGGTCTCGATCAGGATCCTGACCTTGTGATCTGCCCGCCTCGGCCTCCCAAAGTGCTGGGATTACAGGCGTGAGCCACCACGCCCGGCCTCAACTAGTTCTTTATAGCGGTGTGAAAATGGACTAATACATATTGTTTATTTTAACTTTGTATTTCTCCTTCAGCTGATGTATAAGTTCTAAGTTATAGGTTTTGTGTTTAAATTTTTTATTTCTTCTTGATCCATTATTTATACGTATATTTAAAATGTAAAAAAATTAGGATTTTGATTTTGTTGATTGATTACTAATTTAATTGTATTGTAGACAAGAGTCTTGCTCTTTAGCCAGTGAATGCTCAATTTTAATGAACTGTCCATGTGTACTTGTGAAAAATGAGTAGTCACTGACTTGGAGGTTCAGAGTTCTGTGCATGTTTATTATATCAGTCTTATTCATTATGTTCCTTAAATTACTTGTATTCTTCTTTACATTATGTCTAATTAAACTCTTTATTCATGAGGGAGATACATTGATATCTACCATCATGGATAGATTTGTCAAATTTGTCAATTTCTCCTTGTTATTCCACTGCACAGTTTGTGTTTGAATTGGACTATATGCATATAAAGGCAGATGCTCAATCCTTATATCCTGTTGAGTTCAATTCATGAAATAAAAAGTAACCAGTATAGTTTAGCCATTTTTATTCTACTTTATATGTAACTTGATATTTATCACATATATTATTTCTTTGTATTTTTATATGATCTGTCTAAAATGTACAAAAAATTTCCATGTTACTAATTTTTCAGATATTACTGTTAAGTGGTAGCATGCTGCCATGACATAGCTGAATTTCCACACTGCCCTAACTCTGCTTATCTTTAAAAAACATGACACTTGCTCTAGGAAGTTCCCTTTGTAACCAGACCCACTGACACTTGTTAGAACCAGGATAGCTAAAGCCTCAGGCTTCATTATAATCTCATTTCCATGCTAAATGGCACTCCTGGCCAGGCATGGTTGTACATCCCTGTAATCCGAGCCCTTTGGGAGGCCAATGTAGGAGGATTGCTTGAGCACAAGAATTTGAGACCAGCCTGGTCAACAGAATAAGACCTGGTCTCCACAAAAAAAAAAAAAAAAAAAAAAAATTTTAAATTACCCAAGTGTGGTGTCACACACCTATCGTCTCAGCTACTCAGAAGGCTAAAGGGGGTGGATCACTTAGGCCCGGGAGTTCAAGGCTGCAGCGAGCCATGATTGCACCACTGCACTAAAGCCTGGGCAACAGAGCAAGGCCCCATCTCTTAAAATAGAAAAGAAATCCTAGCACTTTGGAAGGCCGAGGCGGGCAGATTGCCTGAGTTCAGGAGTTCGAGACCAGCCTGGGTAACACAGTGAAACCACATCTCTACTAAAAATACAAAAAATATAGCCAGGCGTGGCAGCGTGCGCCTGTAGTCCCAGCTATTTGGGAGGCTGAGGCAGGAGAATTGCTTGAACCCGGGAAGCGGAGGTTGCAGTGAGCCCAGGTCGTGCCACTGCACTCCAACCTTGGTGACAGAGTGAGACTCCATCGCCAAGAAAAAAAGGAAAGAAAAGAAAAAAAGACACTTCCACTGGTGTCATGACACTTGACAATCATCATGACGCTGACCAGAAGTCATAAAAGTTCAAAAAGGAAGGTGGCACTAGGAGTTCTGTGAAGTTGCTGCTCATTCCTGGAAAATGCATGAATATTCTTCCCCTTGCTTTTAATGTCCAATCCCTTCATTAGAGAAACCCTGTATTTTATTTTAACCTCCTCACCTCTCATTAGTCGAGAAGTGATTTGTGAGCCATGCTTCTCCTTCTCAAGTCCACGGCCATCAAGTAAAGCTTGCACTGCTTGGTGCTCACCTTCAGTTTTGTGTATTGCCTTTGCAGCACCGAACAAGTAAAGACCCCATTTTTGGAGGAAGTGGCTTTGTTTGATAGCATTGCTATGGCTATTAACATGCATATTAGCTCATCCCATAATTCTAATGTTTATATTTATATTTTTTATTTTTTTAAGAATCTTGCTGATTGATTTTGTTCATCTCCCAATTCCTGCTCACAATTTGACACCCTATTTGTTTCCTTAAAGAGTTTAAGCCTATACATATTTTGATCCTATATCTGAAAATTATAAGGTCTAAAATGCCTTCTGGTTGCATTTTGTTGTTTGTTGTTTATGTTGACTCTTCATTGTGTGGTTTACATGTTCATTTGGTCTTAGTGTCTGTATAACTTCATGGTGAGTAATAAATATTTCGAGGGTCAGTCCCTCTTACAGGATTGCCTGTGTTTCATCCAAGCACCTGAGTTGTTAATAATCAGAAGACATTTAATTTATGCACTTAAAGTTTTCCTTGACTATACAAATACATTTAAAATTAAATCCCAAACCAGTATGAAGACAAGTTTTTGAATAAAAATTTCTCAGAAGAGACATTTTTCTCTTTTGCCACCCAGACTCCAAACTGAGGCTGAGAACTTATCTCCTTTCACTGGCAAGAAGATTTTTTTGTTTTCTTTTTCCTAGATCATTTCCCTATGAAAGTAGGCCTTCATGCTGGGCACGGTGGCTCATGCCTGTAATCCCAGCACTTTGGGAGGCGGAGGCAGGTGGATCATGAGGTCAGGAGATCAAGACCATCATGGCTAACACGGTGAAACCCCGTCTCTACTAAAAAAATACAAAAAATTAGCCGGGCATGGTGGTGTGCACCTGTAGTCCCAGCTACTCAGGAGGCTGAGGCAGGAGAATGGTGTGAACCCAGGAGGCGGAGCTTGCAGTGAGCCAAGATTGTGCCACTGCACTCCAGCCTGGGTGACAGAGCGCAGAAAAAAGAAAGAAAAGAAAAAGAAAGTGGGCCTTCAATAGTTGTAGCTCTATGGATTGTCTCAAGCCTAAGGTCTTGTCTCCTGTCCCCTCGGTTTTGGTCATTAAAACACAAGTGACCGTGATCATCTTAATTAGCAAACATTGTGAGGATAGCTTTTGCTTGCTGATCAGCTTTCCCGTTCTGGGTTTCTGTTCCTTTTTTATTTTTTTCCTTGAGGCTTCTCATAGATTATTGGAGCTAGGCTAGGTTTGTAAGCTTTTGTTGTATTTATCTACCAATTCTAATTGTTTCGTATTCTGCATATCTGATCTAATTATCACCAGTAGGAGTAGCCTAGGCTAGTTTTTAAAATAAAATGTCTTGAGTGCCCGGATATGTGTTATCAATGTTATTGTTATTATACTAGAGATAGCATCATTATACATCCTTTGGACAATTAATCAATATACGGCTTTCAATCACCTTGCTTATCCATTTTGTGTGGACATAATTTAGATTATTTGGATATTTGCCTTTAATGCAAAAATGTGACTCTATTTATTCATTTATTCATTTACTTATTGAGACGGAGTCTCGCTCTGTCGCCCAGGCTGGAGTGCAGTGGCCCCATCTCAGCTCACTGCAAGCTCCGCCTCCCGGATTCATGCCATTCTCCTGCCTCAGCCTCCTGGGTAGCTGGGACTACAGGCGCCTGCCACCACGCCCGGCTAATTTTTTGTATTTTTAGTAGAGACGAGGTTTCACCATGTTAGCCAGGATGGTCTCGATCTCCTGACCTTCATGATCCACCTGCCTCGGCCTCCCAAAGTGCTGGGATTACAGGTGTGAGCCACTGCCCCCAGCGACTTTATTTTACCTTTATCAAAAACATTGCTTTTGTTTCTACTTAATTTTTATTTTCTAGTATGCATGTTTCAGATAGTTCTAAAAGGTATTACACATCATAATATTTAAATTAATACAATATTATTAATTTTGGAATTTTATAATTCATCTATTCTAAATATATGAGGAACACCGACCCCCAGTTTCTTTTCTTCAGGCTCTCTACTTTGTGTGCAGCCACAGCTATGGGTCAGAATTTAGAAAATCCCCACAGGAAGGAAAAGCTGTATGTTGTTTGAACTCAGCACCTAGAGGGTAAGA